>NT_187476.1:0-1143 GCF_000001405.40 Homo sapiens
CACCTGCTCTATAAAAGGGAATATTCACCTCTGTGACTTGAATGCAAACATCACAAAGCACTTTCTGAGAATGCTTCCGTCTAGATTTTATATGAAGATATTCCCGTTTCCAAGGAAATCTTCCTAGCTATCTAAATATCAACTTGCAGATTCTACTAAAGGAATGTTTCCAAAATGCTGTATCCACACAAAGGTTCAACTCTGTTAATTGAGGACATACAGCACAAAGAAGTTTCTGAGAATGCTTCTGTCTAGATTTTATATGAAGATATCCCGTGTCTAACGAAATCCTCAAAGGTATCAAAATATCCACTTGCAGATTCTACAAAAAGAGTGCTTCAAAACTGCTCTGTCAAAATGAAGGTTCAACTCTGTTACTTGAGTACACACATCACAAGAAAGATTCTGAGAATGCTTCTGTCTGGTTTTTAGGAGAAGATATCTCCTTTTTCACCATAGGCTTCAAAGCGCTGCCAATGTCCACTTCCAAATATTACAAAAAGAGTATTTCAAACCAGCTCTATGAAAGGAAGTGTTCAACTCTGTGAGTTGAATGCAAACATCACAGAGAAGTTTCTGAGAATGCTTCTGTCTTGATTTTACATGAAGATATTCCCATTTCCAAGGAAATCTTCCTAGCTATCTAAATATCAACTTGCAGATTCTACTAAAGGAATGTTTCCAAAATGCTGTATCCACACAAAGGTTCAACTCTGTTAATTGAGGACATACAGCACAAAGAAGTTTCTGAGAATGCTTCTGTCTAGATTTTATATGAAGATATCCCGTGTCCAACGAAATCCTCAAAGGTATCAAAATATCCACTTGCAGATTCTACAAAAAGAGTGCTTCAAAACTGCTCTGTCAAAAGGAAGGTTCAACTCTGTTACTTGAGTACACACATCACAAGGAAGTTTCTGAGAATGCTTCTGTCTGGTTTTTAGGAGAAGATATTTCCTTTTTCAACATAGGCCTCAAAGCGCTGCAAAAGTCCACTTCCAAATATTAGAAAAAGAGTGTTTCAAACCTGCTGTATGAAGGGAAGTGTTCAACTCTATGAGTTGAATGCAAACATCACAGAGAAGTTTCTGAGAATGCTTCTGTCTTGATTTCATATGAAGATATTCCCGTTTCCAACGAAAC
>NT_187477.1:0-1880 GCF_000001405.40 Homo sapiens
AATCCCGTTTCCAACGAAATCCTCAAAGCTATCCAAATATCCACTTCAGATTCCACAAAAAGAGTGTTTCAAAACTGCTCTGTAAAAACAAATGTTCATCTCTGTTAGTTGAATACACACATCACAAACAAGTTTCTGAGAATGTTTCTGTCTAGTTTTTATGGGAAGATATTTCCTTTTTCAACATAGGCCTCAAAGCGCTCCAAATGTCCACTTCCAGGTAGTGCAGAAAGAGTGTTTCAAACCTGCTCTATAAAAGGGAATATTCAACTCTGTGACATGAATGCAAACATCACAAAGCACTTTCTGAGAATGCTTCTGTCTAGATTTTATATGAAGATATTCCCGTTTCCAAGGAAATCTTCCTAGCTATCTAAATATCAACTTGCAGATTCTACTAAAGAAATATTTCCAAAATGCTGTATCCACACAAAGGTTCAACTCTGTTAATTGAGGACATACAGCACAAAGAAGTTTCTGAGAATGCTTCTGTCTAGATTTTATATGAAGATATCCCGTGTCCAACGAAATCCTCAAAGGTATCAAACTATCCACTTGCAGATTCTACAAAAAGAGTGCTTCAAAACTGCTCTGTCAAAAGGAAGGTTCAACTCTGTTACTTGAGTACACACATCACAAGGAAGTTTCTGAGAATGCTTCTGTCTGGTTTTTAGGAGAAGATATTTCCTTTTTCAACATAGGCCTCAAAGCGCTGCAAATGTCCACTTCCAAATATTACAAAAAGAGTGTTTCAAACCTGCTGTATGAAGGGAAGGGTTCAACTCTATGAGCTGATGCAAACATCACAGAGAAGTTTCTGAGAATGCTTCTGTCTTGATTTCATATGAAGATATTCCCGTTTCCAACGAAACCTTCAAAGCTATCCAAATATCCACTTGCAGATTCTACAAAAAGAGTGTTTCCAAAATGTTGTACCCAAACAAAGGTTCAACTCTGTTAGTTGAGATCATACATCGCAAATATGTTTCTGAGAATGCTTCTGTCTAGTTTTTATTTGAAGATATTTCCTTTTTCACCACAGGCCTGAAAGCGCTTGAAACGTCCGCTTGCAGATACCACAGAACGAGGGTTTCAAACCTGCTCTATGAAAGGGAATGTTCAGTTCTGTGACTTGAATGCAAACATCACAAAGTAGTTCCTGAGAATGCTTCTCCCTAGATTTTATATGTAATCCCGTTTCCAACGAAATCCTCAAAGCTATCCAAATATCCACTTTCAGATTCCACAAAAAGAGTGTTTCAAAACTGCTCTGTAAAAAGAAAGGTTCATCTCTGTTAGTTGAATACACACATCACAAACAAGTTTCTGAGAATGCTTCTGTCTAGTTTCTATGGGAAGATATTTCCTTTTTCAACATAGGCCTCAAAGCGCTCCAAATGTCCACTTCCAGGTAGTGCACAGAGTGTTTCAAACCTGCTCTATAAAAGGGAACATTCTACTCTGTGACTTGAATCAAGACATCACAAAGCAGTTTCTGAGAATCCTTCCGTCTGGATTTTATATGAAGATATTCCCGTTTCCAAGGAAATCTTCCTAGCTATCTAAATATCAACTTGCAGATTCTACTAAAGGAGTGTTTCCAAAATGCTGTATCCACACAAAGGTTCAACTCTGTTAATTGAGGACATACAGCACAAAGAAGTTTCTGAGAATGCTTCTGTCTAGATTTTATATGAAGATATCCCGTTTCCAAAGAAATCCTCAAAGGTATCCAAATATCTACTTCCAGATTCTACAAAAAGACTGTTTCAAAACGGCTCTGTCAAAAGTAAGGTTCAACTCTGTTACTTGAGTACACACATCACAAGGAAGTTTCTGAGAATGCTTCTGTCTGGTTTTTAGGAGAAGATATTTCCTTT
>NT_187478.1:0-1216 GCF_000001405.40 Homo sapiens
CATAGAGCAGGTTTGAAACACTCTTTCTGTAGTATCTGCAAGCGGACGTTTCAAGCGCTTTCAGGCGTGTGGTGAAAAAGGAAATATCTTCAAATAAAAACTAGACAGAAGCATTCTCAGAAACTTATTTGCGATGTGTGTTCTCAACTAACAGAGTTGAACCTTTGTTTTGATACAGCATTTTGGAAACACTCTTTTTGTAGAATCTGCAGGTGGATATTTGGATAGCTTTGAAGGTTTCGTTGGAAACGGGAATATCTTCATATAAAATCAAGACAGAAGCATTCTCAGAAACTTCTCTGTGATGTTTGCATTCAACTCATAGAGTTGAACAATTCCTTTCATAGAGCTGGTTTGAAATACTCTTTTTGTAATATTTGGAAGTGGATATTGGCAGCGCTTTGAAGCTTATGGTGAAAAAGGAGATATCTTCTCCTAAATACCAGACAGAAGCATTCTCAGAATCTTTCTTGTGATGTGTGTACTCAAGTAACAGAGTTGAACCTTCCTTTTGACAGAGCAGTTTTGAAGCACTCTTTTTGTAGAATCTGCAAGTGGATATTTGGATACCTTTGAGGATTTCGTTGGACACGGGATATCTTCATATAAAATCTAGACAGAAGCATTCTCAGACACTTCTTTGTGCTGTATGTCTTCAATTAACAGAGTTGAACCTTTGTTTGGAAACAGCATTTTGGAAACGTTCCTTTAGTAGAATCTGCAAGTTGATATTTAGATAGCTAGGAAGATTTCCTTGGAAACGGGAATATCTTCACATAAAATCTAGACGGAAGCATTCTCAGAAAGTGCTTTGTGATGTTTGCATTCAAGTCACAGAGTTGAATATTGCCTTTTATAGAGCAGGTTTGAAACACTCTTTCTGCACTACCTGGAGGTGGACATTTAGAGCGCTTTGAGTCTTATGTTGAAAAAGGAAATATCTTCCCATAAAAACTAGACAGAAGCATTCTCAGAAACTTGTTTGTGATGTGTGTATTCAACTAACAGAGATGAATCTTTCTTTTTACAGAGCAGTTTTGAAACACTCTTTTTGTGGAATCTGAAAGTGGATATTTGGATAGCTTTTGAGGATTTCGTTGGAAACGGGATTACATATAAAACCTAGAGAGAAGGATTCTCAGGAACTTCTTTGTGATGTTTGCATTCACGTCACAGAACTGAACATTCCCTTTCATAGAGCATGTTTGAAACACTC
>NT_187479.1:0-970 GCF_000001405.40 Homo sapiens
AAGTGGATATTTGGATAGCTTTGAGGATTTCGTTGGAAACGGGATTACATATAAAATCTAGAGAGAAGCATTCTCAGGAACTTCTTTGTGATGTTTGCATTCAAGTCACAGAACTGAACATTCCCTTTCATAGAGCAGGTTTGAAACACTCTTTCTGTAGTATCTGCAAACGGACATTTCATACGCTTTCAGGCCTATGGTGAGAAAGGAAATATCTTCAAATAAAAACTAGACAGAAGCATTCTCAGAAACTTATTTGCGATGTGTGTCCTCAACTAACAGAGTTGAACCTTTGTTTTGATACAGCATTTTGGAAACACTCTTTTTGTAGGATCTGCAGGTGGATATTTGGATAGGTTTGAAGGTTTCGTTGGAAACGGGAATATCTTCATATAAAATCAACACAGAAGCATTCTCAGAAACTTCTCTGCGATGTTTGCATTCAACTCATAGAGTTGAACACTTCCTTTCATAGAGCTGGTTTGAAATACTCTTTTTGTAATATTTGGAAGTGGACATTGGCAGCGCTTTGAAGCCTATGTTGAAAATGGAAATATCTTCTCCTAAAAACCAGACAGAAGCATTCTCAGAAACTTCCTTGTGATGTGTGTACTCAAGTAACAGAGTTGAACCTTACTTTTGACAGAGCCGTTTTGAAACAGTCTTTTTGTAGAATCTGGAAGTAGATATTTGGATACCTTTGAGGATTTCTTTGGAAACGGGATATCTTCATATAAAATCTAGACAGAAGCATTCTCAGAAACTTCTTTGTGCTGTATGTCCTCAATTAACAGAGTTGAACCTTTGTGTGGATACAGCATTTTGGAAACACTCCTTTAGTAGAATCTGCAAGTTGATACTTAGATAGGAAGATTTCCTTGGAAACGGGAATATCTTCATATAAAATCTAGACGGAAGCATTCTCGGAAACTTCTTTGTGCTGTATGTCCTCAATAACAGAGTTGAACCT
>NT_187480.1:0-1788 GCF_000001405.40 Homo sapiens
GCTTGCAGATACTACAGAAAGAGTGTTTCAAACCTGCTCTATGAAAGGGAATGTTCAGTTCTGTGACTTGAATGCAAACATCACAAAGAAGTTCCTGAGAATGCTTCTCCCTAGATTTTATATGTAATCCCGTTTCCAACGAAATCCTCAAAGCTATCCAAATATCCACTTTCGGATTCCACAAAAAGAGTGTTTCAAAACTACTCTGTAAAAAGAAAGGTTCATCTCTGTTAGTTGAATACACACATCACAAACAAGTTTCTGAGAATGCTTCTGTCTAGTTTTTATGGGAAGATATTTCCTTTTTCAACATAGGCCTCAAAGCGCTCCAAATGTCCACTTCCAGGTAGTGCAAAAAGAGTGTTTCAAACCTGCTCTATAAAAGGGAATATTCAACTCTGTGACTTGAATGCAAACATCACAAAGCACTTTCTGAGAATGCTTCCGGCTAGATTTTATATGAAGATATTCCCGTTTCCAAGGCAATCTTCCTAGCTATCTAAATATCAACTTGCAGATTCTACTAAAGGAATGTTTCCAAAATGCTGTATCGACACAAAGGTTCAACTCTGTTAATTGAGGACATACAGCACAAAGAAGTTTCTGAGAATGCTTCTGTCTAGATTTTATATGAAGATATCCCGTGTCCAACGAAATCCTCAAAGGTATCAAAATATCCACTTGCAGATTCTACAAAAAGAGTGCTTCAAAACTGCTCTGTCAAAATTGAAGGTTCAACTCTGTTACTTGAGTACACACATCACAAGAAAGATTCTGAGAATGCTTCTGTCTGGTTTTTAGGAGAAGATATCTCCTTTTTAACCATAGGCTTCAAAGCGCTGCCGATGTCCACTTCCAAATATTACAAAAAGAGAATTTCAAACCAGCTCTATGAAAGGAAGTGTTCAACTGTATGAGTTGAATGCAAACATCACAGAGAAGTTTCTGAGAAGGCTTCTGTGTTGATTTTATATGAAGATATTCCCCTTTCCAACGAAACCTTCAAAGCTATCCAAATATCCACCTGCAGATCCTACAAAAAGAGTGTTTCCAAAATGCTGTATCAAAACAAAGGTTCAACTCTGTTAGTTGAGAACACACATCGCAAATAAGTTTCTGAGAATGCCTCTGTCTAGTTTTTATTTGAAGATATTTCCTTTTTCACCACAGGCCTGAAAGCGCTTCAAACGTCCGCTTGCAGATACTACAGAAAGAGTGTTTCAAACATGCTCTATGAAAGGGAATGTTCAGTTCTGTGACTTGAATGCAAACATCACAAAGAAGTTCCTGAGAATGCTTCTCCCTACTTTTTATATGTAATCCCGTTTCCAACGAATTCCTCAAAGCTATCCAAATATCCACTTTCGGATTCCACAAAAAGAGTGTTTCAAAACTACTCTGTAAAAAGAAAGGTTCATCTCTGTTAGTTGAATACACACATCACAAACAAGTTTCTGAGAATGCTTCTGTCTAGTTTTTATGGGAAGATATTTCCTTTTTCATCATAGGCCTCAAAGCGCTGCAAATGTCCACTTCCAAATATTACAAAAAGAGTGTTTCAAACCTGCTGTATGAAGGGAAGTGTTCAACTCTATGAGTTGAATGCAAACATCACAGAGAAGCTTCTGAGAATGCTTCTGTCTTGATTTTATATGAAGATATTCCCGTTTCCAATGAAACCTTCAAAGCTATCCAAATATCCACTTGCAGATTCCACAAAAAGAGTGTTTCCAAAATGTTGTATCAAAAGAAGGTTCAACTCTGTTAGTTGAGGATACACATCGCAAA
>NT_187481.1:0-1484 GCF_000001405.40 Homo sapiens
AAAACTGCTCTGTCAAAAGGAAGATTCAAATTTGTTACTTTGAGTACACACATCACAAGGAAGTTTCTGAGAATGCTTCTGTCTGGTTTTTAGGAGAAGATATTTCCTTTTTCAACATAGGCCTCAAAGCGCTGCAAATGTCCACTTCCAAATATTAGAAAAAGAGAGTTTCAAACCTGCTGTATGAAGGGAAGTGTTCAACTCTATGAGTTGAATGCAAACATCGCAGAGAAGTTTCTGAGAATGCTTCTGTCTTGATTTCATATGAAGATATTCCCGTTTCCAACGAAACCTTCAAAGCTATCCAAATATCCACTTGCAGATTCTACAAAAAGAGTGTTTCCAAAATGTTGTATCAAAAGAAAGGTTCAACTCTGTTAGTTGAGGACACACATCGCAAATAAGTTTCTGAGAATGCTTCTGTCTAGTTTTTATTTGAAGATATTTCCTTTCTCACCACAGGCCTGAAAGCGCTTCAAACGTCCGCTTGCAGATACTACAAAAAGAGTGTTTCAAACCTGCTGTATGAAGGGAAGTGTTCAACTCTATGAGTTGAATGCAAACATCACCGAGAAGTTTCTGAGAATGCTTCTGTCTTGATTTTATATGAAGATATTCCCGTTTCCAACGAAACCTTCAAAGCTATTCAAATATCCACTTGCAGATTCTACAAAAAGAGGGTTTCCAAAATGTTGTATCAAAAGAAAGGTTCAACTCTTTTAGTTGAATACACACATCACAAACAAGTTTCTGAGAATGCTTCTGTCTAGTTTTTATGGGAAGATATTTCCTTTTTCAACATAGGCCTCAAAGCGCTGCAAATGTCCACTTCCAGGTAGTGTACAGAGTGTTTCAAACCTGCTCTATGAAAGGAAGTGTTCAACTCTATGAGTTGAATGCAAACATCACAGAGAAGTTTCTGAGAATGCTTCTGTCTTGAGTTTATATGGGGATATTCCCGTTTCCAACGAAACCTTCAAAGCTATCCAAATATCCACTTGCAGATTCTACAAAAAGAGTGTTTCCGAAATGTTGTATCCAAACAAAGGTTCAACTCTTTTAGTTGAGAACACACATGGCAAATAAGTTTCTGAGAATGCTTCTGTCTAGTTTTTATTTGAAGATATTTCCTTTTTCACCACAGGCCTGAAAGCGCTTCAAACGTCCGCTTGCAGATACTACAGAAAGAGTGTTTCAAACCTGCTCTATGAAAGGGAATGTTCAGTTCTGTGACTTGAATGCAAACATCACAAAGAAGTTCCTGAGAATGCTTCTCCCTACATTTTATATGTAATCCCGTTTCCAACGAATTCCTCAAAGCTATCCAAATATCCACTTTCGGATTCCACAAAAAGAGTGTTTCAAAACTACTCTGTAAAAAGAAAGGTTCATCTCTGTTAGTTGAATACACACATCAGAAACAAGTTTCTGAGAATGCTTCTGTCTACTTTTTATGGGAAGATATTTCCTTTTTCATCATAGGC
>NT_187482.1:0-1750 GCF_000001405.40 Homo sapiens
CTATCCAAATATCCACCTGTAGATCCTACAAAAAGAGTGTTTCCAAATGCTGTATCAAAACAAAGATCACTCTGTTAGTTGAGACACACATGGCAAATAAGTTCTGAGAATGCTTCTGTCTAGTTTTTACTTGAAGATATTTCCTTTCTCACCATAGGCCTGAAAGCGCTTGAAACGTCAGCTTGCAGATACTACAGAAAGAGTGTTTCAAACCGGCTCTATGAAAGGGAATGTTCAGTTCTGTTACTTGAATGCAAACATCACAAAGAAGTTCCTGAGAATGCTTCTCTCTAGATTTTATATGTAATCCCGTTTCCAACGAAATCCTCAAAGCTATCCAAATATCCACTTTCAGATTCCACAAAAAGAGTGTTTCAAAACTGCTCTGTAAAAAGAAAGGTTCATCTCTGTTAGTTGAATACACACATCACAAAGAAGTTTCTGAGAATGCTTCTGTCTAGTTTTTATGGGAAGATATTTCCTTTTTCAACATAGGCCTCAAAGCGCTCTAAATGTCCACCTCCAGGTAGTGCAGAAAGAGTGTTTCAAACCTGCTCTATAAAAGGGAATATTCAACTCTGTGACTTGAATGCAAACATCACAAAGCACTTTCTGAGAATGCTTCCGTCTAGATTTTATGTGAAGATATTCCCGTTTCCAAGGAAATCTTCCTAGCTATCTAAATATCAACTTGCAGATTCTACTAAAGGAACGTTTCCAAAATGCTGTATCCAAACAAAGGTTCAACTCTGTTAATTGAAGACATACAGCACAAAGAAGTTTCTGAGAATGCTTCTGTCTAGATTTTATATGAAGATATCCCGTTTCCAAAGAAATCCTCAAAGGTATCGAAATATCTACTTGCAGATTCTACAAAAAGAGTGTTTCAAAACGGCTCTGTAAAAAGAAAGGTTCATCTCCGTTAGTTGAATACACACATCACAAACAAGTTTCTGAGAATGCTTCTGTCTAGTTTTTATGGGAAGATATTTCCTTTTTCAACATAGGCCTCAAAGCGCTCCAAATGTCCACTTCCAGGTAGTGCACAGAGTGTTTCAAACCTGCTCTATGAAAGGAAGTGTTCAACTCTATGAGTTGAATGCAAACATCACAGAGAAGTTTCTGAGAATGCTTCTGTCTTGATTTTATATGAAGATATTCCCGTTTCCAACGAAACCTTAAAAGCTATCCAAATATCCACCTGCAGATCCTACAAAAAGAGTGTTTCCAAAATGCTGTATCAAAACAAAGGTTCAACTCTGTTAGTTGAGGACACACATCGCAAATAAGTTTCTGAGAATGGTTCTGTCCAGTTTTTATGGGAAGATATTTCCTTTTTCAACATAGGACTCAAAGCGCTCCAAATGTCCACCTCCAGGTAGTGCAGAAAGAGTGTTTCAAACCTGCTCTATGAAAGGGAATGTTCAGTTCTGTGACTTGAATGCAAACATCACAAAGAAGTTCCTGAGAATGCTTCTCTCTAGGTTTTATATGTAATCCCGTTTCCAACGAAATCCTCAAAGCCATCCAAATATCCACTTTCAGATTCCACAAAAAGAGTGTTTCAAAACTGCTCTGTAAAAAGAAAGGTTCATCTCTGTTAGTTGAATACACACATCACAAACAAGTTTCTGAGAATGCTTCTGTCTAGTTTTGATGGGAAGATATTTCCTTTTTCAACATAGGCCTCAAAGCGCACCCAATGTCCACTTCCAGGTAGTGCACAGAGTGTTCAAACCTGCTCTATAAA
>NT_187483.1:0-1308 GCF_000001405.40 Homo sapiens
GTCCACTTCCAGGTAGTGCACTGAGTGTTTCAAACCTGCTCTATAAAAGGGAACATTCTACTCTGTGACTTGAATGAAGACATCACAAAGCAGTTTCTGAGAATGCTTCCGTCTAGATTTTATGTGAAGATAGTCCCGTTTCCAAGGAAATCTTCCTAGCTATCTAAATATCAACTTGCAGATTCTACTAAAGGAATATTTCCAAAATGCTGTATCCACACAAAGGTTCAACTCTGTTAATTGAGGACATACAGCACAAAGAAGTTTCTGAGAATCCTTCTGTCTAGATTTTATATGAAGATATCCCGTGTCCAACGAAATCCTCAAAGGTATCAAAATATCCACTTGCAGATTCTACAAAAAGAGTGCTTCAAAACTGCTCTGTCAAAAGGAAGGTTCAACTCTGTAACTTGAGTACACACATCACAAGGAAGTTTCTGACAATGCTTCTGTCTGGTTTTTAGGAGAAGATATTTCCTTTTTCAACATAGGCCCCAAAGCGCTGCAAATGTCCACTTCCAAATATTAGAAAAAGAGTGTTTCAAACCTGCTGTATGAAGGGAAGGGTTCAACTCTATGAGTTGAATGCAAACATCACAGAGAAGTTTCTGAGAATGCTTCTGTCTAGATTTTATATGAAGATATCCCGTGTCCAACGAAATCCTCAAAGGTATCAAAATATCCACTTGTAGATTCTACAAAAAGAGTGCTTCAAAACTGCTCTCTCAAAATGAAGGTTCAACTCTGTTACTTGAGTACACACATCACAAGAAAGATTCTGAGAATGCTTCTGTCTGGTTTTTAGGAGAAGATATCTCCTTTTTCACCATAAGCTTCAAAGCGCTGCCAATGTCCATTCCAAATATTACAAAAAGAATATTTCAAACCAGCTCTATGAAAGGAAGTGTTCAACTCTATGAGTTGAATGCAAACATCACAGAGAAGTTTCTGAGAATGCTTCTGTGTTGATTTTATATGAAGATATTCCCGTTTCCAAAGAAACCTTCAAAGCTATCCAAATATCCACCTGCAGATCCTACAAAAAGAGTGTTTCCAAAATGCTGTATCAAAACAAAGTTCAACTCTGTTAGCTGAGAACACACATCGCAAATAAGTTTCTGAGAATGCTTCTGTCTAGTTTTTATTTGAAGATATTTCCTTTTTCACCACAGGCCTGAAAGCGCTTGAAACGTCCGCTTGCAGATACTACAGAAAGAGTGTTTCAAACCTGCTCTATGAAAGGGAATGTTCAGTTCTGTGAGTTGAATGCAAACATCACAAAGAAGTTCCTGAGAATGCTCTCCCTAG
>NT_187484.1:0-1658 GCF_000001405.40 Homo sapiens
TCCAAAGAAATCCTCAAAGGTATCCAAATATCTACTTCCAGATTCTACAAAAAGACTGTTTCAAAACGGCTCTGTCAAAAGTAAGGTTCAACTCTGTTACTTGAGTACACACATCACAAGGAAGTTTCTGAGAATGCTTCTGTCTGGTTTTTAGGAGAAGATATTTCCTTTTTCAACTTAGGCTTCAAAGCGCTGCCAATGTCCACTTCCAAATATTACAAAAAGAGTATTTCAAACCAGCTCTATGAAAGGAAGTGTTCAACTCTATGAGTTGAATGCAAGCATCACAGAGAAGTTTCTGAGAATGCTTCCGTCTAGATTTTATGTGAAGATATTCCCGTTTCCAAGGAAATCTTCCTAGCTATCTAAATATCAACTTGCAGATTCTACTAAAGGAGTGTTTCCAAAGTGCTGTATCCGCACAAAGGTTCAACTCTGTTAATTGAGGACATACAGCACAAAGAAGTTTCTGAGAATGCTTCTGTCTAGATTTTATATGAAGATATCCCGTTTCCAAAGAAATCCTCAAAGCTATCCAAATATCTACTTCCAGATTCTACAAAAAGACTGTTTCAAAACGGCTCTGTCAAAAGTAATGTTCAACTCTGATACTTGAGTACACACATCACAAGGAAGTTTCTGAGAATGCTTCTGTCTGGTTTTTAGTAGAAGATATTTCCTTTTTCAACATAGGCCTCAAAGCGCTGCAAATGTCCACTTCCAAATATTACAAAAAGAGTGTTTCAAACCTGTTGTATGAAGGGAAGTGTTCAACTCTATGAGTTGAATGCAAACATCACAGAGAAGTTTCTGAGAATGCTTCTGTGTTGATTTTATATGAGGATATTCCCGTTTCCAACGAAACCTTCAAAGCTATCCAAATATCCACCTGCAGATCCTACAAAAAGAGTGTTTCCAAAATGCTGTATCAAAACAAAGGTTCAACTCTGTTAGTTGAGAACACACATCGCAAATAAGTTTCTGAGAATGCTTCTGTCTACTTTTTATTTGAAGATATTTCCTTTTTCACCACAGGCCTGAAAGCGCTTGAAACGTCCGCTTGTAGATACTACAGAAAGAGTGTTTCAAACCTGCTCTATGAAACGGAATGTTCAGTTCTGTGACTTGAATACAAACATCACAAAGAAGTTCCTGAGAATGCTTCTCCCTATATTTTATAAGTAATCCCGTTTCCAACGAAATCCTCAAAGCTATCCAAATATCCACTTTCAGATTCCACAAAAAGAGTGTTTCAAAACTGCTCTGTAAAAAGAAAGGTTCATCTCTGTTAGTTGAATACACACATCACAAACAAGTTTCTGAGAATGTTTCTGTCTAGTTTTTATGAGAAGATATTTCCTTTTTCAACATAGGCCTCAAAGCGCTCCAAATGTCCACTTCCAGGTAGTGCACAGAGTGTTTCAAACATGCTCTATGAAAGGAAGTGTTCAACTCTATGAGTTGAATGCAAACATCACAGAGAAGTTTCTGAGAATGCTTCTGTCTTGATTTTATATGGGGATATTCCCGTTTCCAACGAAACGTTCAAAGCTATCCAAATATCAACCTGCAGATCCTACAACAAGAGTGTTTCCAAAATGCTGTATCAAAACAAAGGTTCAACTCTGTTAGTTGAGAACACACATCGCAAATAAGTC
>NT_187485.1:0-971 GCF_000001405.40 Homo sapiens
ATTTGCGATGTGTGTTCTCAACTAACAGAGTTGAACCTTTGTTTTGATGCAGCATTTTGGAAACACTCTTTTTGTAGGATCTGCAGGTGGATATTTGGATAGCTTTGAAGGTTTCGTTGGAAACGGGAATATCTTCATATAAAATCAATACAGAAGCCTTCTCAGAAACTTCTCTGTGATGTTTGCATTGAACTCACAGAGTTGAACACTTCCTTTCATAGAGCTGGTTTGAAATACTCTTTTTGTAATATTTGGAAGTGGACATTGGCAGCGCTTTGAAGCCTGTGGTGAAAAAGGAGATATCTTCTCCTAAAAACCATACAGAAGCATTCTCAGAATCTTTCTTGTGATGTGTGTACTCAAGTAACACAGTTGAACCTTCAATTTGACAGAGCAGTTTTGAAGCACTCTTTTTGTAGAATCTGCAAGTGGATATTTTGATACCTTTGAGGATTTCGTTGGACACTGGATATCTTCATATAAAATCTAGACAGAAGCATTCTCAGAAACTTCTTTGTGCTGTATGTCCTCAATTAACAGAGTTGAACCTTTGTTTCGATACAGCATTTTGGAAACATTCCTTTAGTAGAATCTGCAAGTTGATATTCAGATAGCTAGGAAGATTTCCTTGGAAACGGGAATATCTTCATATAAAATCTAGACGGAAGCATTCTCAGAAAGTGCTTTGTGATGTTTGCATTCAAGTCACAGAGTTGAATATTCCCTTTCATAGAGTAGGTTTGAAACACTCTTTCTGTAGTATCTGCAAGTGGACGTTTCAAGCGCTTTCAGGCCTGTGGTGAAAAAGGAAATATCTTCAAATAAAAATTAGACAGAAGCATTCTCAGAAACTTATTTGCGATGTGTGTTCTCAACTAACAGAGTTGAACATTTGTTTTGATACAGCATTTTGGAAACACTCTTTTTGTAGGATCTGCAGGTGGATATTTGGATAGCTTTGAAGTTTTCGT
>NT_187486.1:0-1930 GCF_000001405.40 Homo sapiens
CAAATGTCCACTCCCAGGTAGTGCACAGAGTGTTTCAAACCTGCTCTATGAAAGGAAGTGTTCAACTCTATGAGTTGAAGGCAAACATCACAGAGAAGTTTCTGAGAATGCTTCTGTCTTGATTTTATATGAGGATATTCCCGTTTCCAACGAAACCATCAAAGCTATCCAAATATCCACCTGCAGATCCTACAAAAAGAGTGTTTCCAAAATGCTGTATCAAAACAAAGGTTCAACTCTGTTAGTTGAGAACACACATCGCAAATAAGTTTCTGAGAATGCTTCTGTCTAGTTTTTATTTGAAGATATTTCCTTTTTCACCACAGGCCTGAAAGCGCTTGAAACGTCCGCATGCAGATGCTACAGAAAGAGTGTTTCAAAGCTGCTCTATGAAAGGGAATGTTCAGTTCTGTGACTTGAATGCAAATATCACAAAGAAGTTCCTGAGAATGCTTCTCCCTAGATTTTATATGTAATCCCGTTTCCAACGAAACCCTCAAAGCTATCCAAATATCCACTTTCAGATTCCACAAAAAGAGTGTTTCAAAACTGCTCTGTAAAAAGAAAGGTTCATCTCTGTTAGTTGAATACACACATCACAAACAAGTTTCTGAGAATGCTTCTGTCTAGTTTTTATGGGAAGATATTTCCTTTTTCAACATAGGCCTCAAAGCGCTCCCAATGTCCACTTCCACGTAGTGCACAGAGTGTTTCAAACCTGCTCTATAAAAGGGAACATTCTACTCTGTGACTTGAATGAAGACATCACAAAGCAGTTTCTGAGAATGCTTCCGTCTAGATTTTATATGAAGATATTCCCGTTTCCAAGGATATCTTCCTAGCTATCTAAATATCAACTTGCAGATTCTACTAAAGGAATGTTTCCAAAATGCTGTATCCACACAAAGGTTCAACTCTGTTAATGGAGGACACACAGCAAGAAGAAGTTTCTGAGAATGCTTCTGTCTAGATTTTATATGAAGATATCCCGTTTCCAAAGAAATCCTCAAAGGTATCCAAATATCTACTTGCAGATTCTACAAAAAGAGTGTTTCAAAACGGCTCTGTAAAAGGAAGGTTCAACTCTGTTATTTGAGTACACTCATCACAAGGAAGTTTCTGAAAATGCTTCTGTCTGGTTTTTAGGAGAAGATATTACCTTTTTCACCATCGGCCTCAAAGCGGTGCTAAAGTCCACTTCCGAATATCACAAAGAGTGTTTCAAACGTGCTCTATGAAAGGAAGTGTTCAACTCTATGAGTTGAATGCAAACATCACAGAGAAGTTTCTGAGAATGCTTCTGTTTTGATTTTATATGAAGATATTCCCGTTTCTAAAGAAACCTTCAAAGCTATCCAAGTATTCACCTGCAGATTCTCCCAAAAGAGTGTTTGCAAAATGTTGTATCAAAACAAAGGTTCAACTCTGTTAGTTGAGGACACACATCGCAAATAAGTTTCTGAGAATGCTTCTGTCTAGTTTTTATTTGAAGATAATTCCTTTCTCACCATAGGCCTGAAAGCGCTTGAAATGTCCGCTTGCAGATACTACAGAAAGAGTGTTTCAAACATGCTCTATGAAAGGGAATGTTCAGTTCTGTGACTTGAATGCAAACATCACAAAGAAATTCCTGAGAATGCTTCTCTCTAGATTTTATATGTAATCCCGTTTCCAACGAAATCGTCAAAGCTATCCACATATCCACTTTCAGATTCCACAAAAAGAGTGTTTCAAAACTGCTCTGTAAAAAGAAA
This sequence comes from Homo sapiens, assembly GCF_000001405.40. Taxonomy (NCBI): domain Eukaryota; kingdom Metazoa; phylum Chordata; class Mammalia; order Primates; family Hominidae; genus Homo; species Homo sapiens. The sequence goes on from NT_187486.1 coordinate 1,755, forward strand.
GGTTCATCTCTGTTAGTTGAATACACACATCACAAACAAGTTTCTGAGAATGCTTCTGTCTAGTTTTTATGGGAAGATATTTCCTTTTTCATCATAGGCCTCAAAGCGCTCCAAATGTCCACTTCCATGTAGTGCAGAAAGAGTGTCTCAAACCTGGTATATAAAAGGGAACATTC
>NT_187487.1:0-990 GCF_000001405.40 Homo sapiens
TTTCATAGAGCATGTTTGAAACACTCTTTCTGTAGTATCTGAAAACGGACATTTCAAGCGCTTTCAGGCCTATGGTAAGAAAGGAAATATCTTCAAATAAAAACTAGAGAGAAGCATTCTCAGAAACTTATTTGCGATGTGTGTCCTCAACTAACAGAGTTGAACCTTTGTTCTGATACAACATTTTGGAAACACTCTTTTTGTAGAATCTGCAAGTGGATAATTGGATAGCTTTGAAGGTTTCGTTGGAAACGGGAATATCTTCATATAAAATCAAGACAGAAGCATTCTCAGAAACTTCTCTGTGATGTTTGCATTCAACTCATAGAGTTGAACACTTCCCTTCATAGAGCAGGTTTGAAACACTCTTTTTGTAATATTTGGAAGTGGACATTTGCAGCGCTTTGAGGCCTATGTTGAAAAAGGAAATATCTTCTCCTGAAAACCAGACAGAAGCATTCTCAGAAACTTCCTTGTGATGTGTGTACTCAAGTAACAGAGTTGAACCTTACTTTTGACAGAGCCGTTTTGAAACAGTCTTTTTGTAGAATCTGGAAGTAGATATTTGGACACCTTTGAGGATTTCTTTGGAAACGGGATATCTTCATATAAAATCTAGACAGAAGCATTCTCAGAAACTTCTTTGTGCTGTATGTCCTCAATTAGCAGAGTTGAACCTTTGTGTGGATACAGCATTTTGGAAACACCCCTTTAGTAGGATATGCAAGTTGATATTTAGATAACTAGGAAGATTTCCTTGGAAACGGAATATCTTCATATAAATCTAGACGGAAGCATTCTCAGAAAGTGCTTTGTGATGTTTGCATTCAAGTCACAGAGTTGATATTCCCTTTTATAGAGCAGGTTTGAAACACTCTTTCTGCACTTACCTGAAGAAGACTTTTGCAGCGCTTTGAGGCCTATGTTGAAAAAGGAATATCTTCCCATAAAACTAAACAGAGCATTCTCAGAAACTTGTTGTGATGTGTG
>NT_187488.1:0-4215 GCF_000001405.40 Homo sapiens
TACCTGGAAGTGGACATTTGGAGCGCTTTGAGCGCTATGTTGAAAAGGGAAATATCTTCCCATAAAAACTAGACAGAAGCATTCTCAGAAACTTGTTTGTGATGTGTGTATTCAACTAACAGAGATGAACCTTTCTTTTTACAGAGCAGTTTTGAAACACTCTTTTTGTGGAATCTGAAAGTGGATATTTGGATAGCTTTGAGGATTTCGTTGGAAACGGGATTACATATAAAATCTAGAGAGAAGCATTCTCAGGAACTTCTTTGTGATGTTTGCATTCACGTCACAGAACTGAACATTCCCTTTCATAGAGCATGTTTGAAACACTCTTTCTGTAGTATCTGCAAGCGGACATTTCAAGCGCTTTCAGGCCTATTGTGAGAAAGGAAATATCTTCAAATAAAAACTAGACAGAAGCATTCTCAGAAACTTATTTGCGATGTGTGTCCTCAACTAACAGAGTTGATCCTTTGTTTTGATACAGCACTTTGGAAACACTCTTTTGGTAGAATCTGCAGGTGGATACTTGGATACCTTTGAAGGTTTCGTTTGAAACGGGAATATCTTCACATAAAATCAAGACAGAAGCATTCTCAGAAACTTCTCTGTGATGTTTGCATTCAACTCATAGAGTGGAACACTTCCTTTCATAGGGCAGGTATGAAACACCCTTTTTGTAATATTTGGAAGTGGACATTGGCAGCGCTTTGAGGCCTATGGTGAAAAAGGAAATATCTTCTCCTAAAAACCAGACAGAAGCATTCTCAGAAACTTCCTTGTGATGTGTGTACTCAAGTAACAGAGTTGAACCTTCCTTTTGACAGAGCAGTTTTGAAACACTCTTTCTGTAGAATCTGCAAGTGGATATTTTGATACCTTTGAGGATTTCGTTGGACACGGGATATCTTCATATAAAATCTAGACAGAAGCATTCTCAGAAACTTCTTTGTGCTGTATGTCCTCAATTAACAGATTTGAACCTTTGTTTCCATACAGCATTTTGGAAACATTCCTTTAGTAGAATCTGCAAGTTGATAATTAGATTGCTAGGAAGATTTCCTTGGAAACGGGAATATCTTCATATAAAATCTAGACGGAAGCATTCTCAGAAACTGCTTTGTGATGTTTTCATTCAAGTCACAGAGTAGAATGTTCCCTTTTATAGAGCAGGTTTCAAACACTCTTTCTGCACTACCTGGAAGTGGACATTTGGAGCGCTTTGAGGCCTATGTTGAAAAAGGAAATATCTTCCCATATAAACTAGACAGAAGCATTCTCAGAAACTTGTTTGTGATGTGTGTATTCAACTAACAGAGATGAACCTTTCTTTTTACAGAGCAGTTTTTAAACACTCTTTTTGTGGAATCTGAAAGTGGATATTTGGATAGCTTTGAGGATTTCGTTGGAAACGGGATTACATATAAAATCTAGAGAGAAGCATTCTCAGGAACTTCTTTGTGATGTTTGCATTCACGTCACAGAACTGAACTTTCCTTTTCATAGAGCATGTTTGAAACACTCTTTCTATACTACCTGCAAGCGGACATTTCAAGCGCTTTCAGGCCTATGGTGAGAAAGGAAATATCTTCAAATAAAAACTAGACAGAAGCATTCTCAGATACTTATTTGCGATGTGTGTCCTCAACTAACAGAGTTGAACCTTTTTTTTGATACAGCACTTTGGAAACACTCTTTTGGTAGAATCTGCAGGTGGATACTTGGATAGATTTGAAGGTTTCGTTGGAAACGGGAATATCTTCATATAAAATCAAGAAGGAAGCATTCTCAGAAACTTCTCTGTTATGTTTGCATTCAACTCATGGTGTTGAACACTTCCTTTCATAGAGCAGGTTTGAAACACTCTTTTTGTAATATTTGGAAGTGGACATTGGCAGCACTTTGAGGCCTATGGTGAAAAAGGAAATATCTTCTCCTAAAAATCAGACAGAAGTATTCTCAGAAACTTCCTTGTGATGTGTGTACTCAAGTAACAGAGTTGAACCTTCCTTTTGACAGAGCCATTTTGAAACACTCTTTTTGGAGAATCTGCAAGTAGATATTTGGATACCTTTGAGGATTTCGTTGGAAACGGGATATCTTCATATAAAATCAAGACAGAAGCATTCTCAGAAACTACTTTGTGCTGTATGTCCTCAATTAACAGCGTTGAACCTTTGTTTGGATACAGCATTTTGGAAACTTTCCTTTAGTAGAATCTGCAAGTGGATATTTAGTTAGCTAGGAAGATTTCCTTGGAAACGGGAATATCTTCATATAAAATCTAGACGGAAGCATTCTCAGAAAGTGCTTTGTGATGTTTGCATTCAAGTCACAGAGTAGAATATTCGCTTTTATGGAGCCGGTTTGAAACACTCTTTCTGCACTACCTGGAAGTAGACATTTGGAGCGCTTTGAGGGCTATGTTGAAAATGGAAATATCTTCCCATAAAAACTAGACACAAGCATTCTCAGAAACTTGTTTGTGATATGTGTATTCAACTAACAGAGATGAACCTTTCTTTTTACAGAGCAGTTTTAAAACACTCTTTTTATGGAATCTGACAGTGGATATTTGGATAGCTTTGAGGATTTCGTTGGAAAGGGGATTACATATAAAATCTAGAGAGAAGCATTCTCAGGAACTTCTTTGTGATGTTTGCATTCAAGTCACAGAACTGAACATTCCCTTTCATAGAGCAGGTTTGAAACACTCTTTTTGTAGTATCTGCAAGCGACTTTTCAAGTACTTTCAGGCCTATGGTGAGAAAGGAAATATCTTCAAATAAAAACTAGACAGAAGCATTCTCAGAAACTTATTTGCGATGTGTGTTCTCAACTAACAGAGTTGAACCTTTGTTTTGATACAGCATTTTGGAAACACTCTTTTTGTAGAATCTGCTGGTGGATATTTGGATAGCTTTGAAGGTTTCGTTGGAAACGGGAATATCATCATATAAAATCAAGACAGAAGCATTCTCAGAAACTTCTCTGTGATGTTTGCATTAAACTCATAGAGTTGAACACTTCCCTTCATAGAGCAGGTTAGAAACACTCTTTTTGTAGAATCTGCAAGTAGATATTTGGATACCTTTGAGGATTTCTTTGGAAACGGGATATCTTCATATAAAATCTAGACAGAAGCATTCTCAGAAACTTCTTTGTGCTGTATGTCCTCAATTAACAGAGTTGAACCTTTGTGTGGATACAGCATTTTGGAAACATTCCTTTATTACTATCTGCAAGTTGATATTTAGATAGCTAGGAAGATTTCCTTGGAAACGGGAATATCTTCATATAAAATCTAGACGGATGCATTCTCAGAAACTGCTTTGTGATGTTTTCATTCAAGTCACAGAGTAGAATGTTTCCTTTTATAGAGCAGGTTTGAAACAGTCTGTGCACTACCTGGAAGTGGACATTTTGAGCGCTTTGAGGCCTATGTTGGAAAAGGAAATATCTTCCCATAAAAACTAGACAGAACCATTCTCAGAAACTTGTTTCTGATGTGTGAATTCAACTAACAGAGATGAACCTTTCTTTTTACAGAGCAGTTTTGAAACACTCTTTTTCTGGAATCTGAAAGTGGATATTTGGATAGCTTTGAGGATTTCGTTGGAAACGGGATTACATATAAAATCTAGAGAGAAGCATTCTCAGGAACTTCTTTGTGATGTTTGCATTCACGTCACAGAACTGAATATTCCCTTTCATAGAGCATGTTTGAAAAACTCTTTCTGTAGTATCTGCAAGCGGACATTTCAAGCGCTTTCAGGCCTATGGTGAGAAAGGAAATATCTTCAAATAAAAACTAGACAGAAGCATTCTCAGAAACTTCTTTGTGCTGTATGTCCTCAATTAACAGAGTTGAACCTTTGTGTGGATACAGCACTTTGGAAACATTCCTTTAGTAGAATCTGCAAGTTGATATTTAGATAGCTAGGAAGATTTCCTTGGAAACGGCAACATCTTCATATAAAATCTAGACGGAAACATTCTCAGAAAGTGCTTTGTGATGTTTGCATTCAAGTCACAGAGTAGAATATTCCCTTTTATAGAGCAGGTTTCAAACACACTTTCTGCACTACCTGGAAGTGGACATTTGGAGCGCTTTGAGGGCTATGGTGAAAATGGAAATATCTTCCCATAAAAACTAGACAGAAGCATTCTCAGAAACTTGCTTGTGATGTGTGTATTCAACTAACAGAGATGAACCTT
>NT_187489.1:0-1136 GCF_000001405.40 Homo sapiens
AATTCTACAAAAGAGTGTTGCAAAACTGCTCAATCAAAAGAGAGTTTCAACTCTGTGAGATGAACGCACATGTCACAAAGAAGTTTTTCCGAATTCTTCTCTCTAGTTTTTATGAGAAAATATTTCCTTTTCCACCCTAGGCCTCAAAGCGATCCAAATGCACACTTGCAGATTCTACAAAAACAGAGTTTCAAAAACGGCTCAATCAAAAGTAAGGTTTAACTCTGTAAGATGAATGCACACATCACAAAGCAGTTTCTCAGATTGCTTCTGTCTAGATTGTATGTGAAGATATTTCCTTCTCTACCATAGGCCGCAAATAGCTCCAAATTTGAAATTGCAGATTCTACCAAAAGAGTGTTTCCAAACTGCTCAATCGAAAGAAAGGTTCAACTATTTGAGATGAATACAAGCATCACAGAGAAGTTTCTCAGAATTCTTCTGTCTAGTTTTTATGTGGAGATATTTCCTTTTCCACCATAGGCCTCAAAGTGCTCCAAATGTCCACTTGCAGAGTCTTCAAAAAGAGTGTTTCAAAACTACTCAATCAAAAGAAAGTTTTAACTTTGTGAGATGAATGCACACATCACAAAGAAGTTTCCCAGATTGCTTCTGTCTAGATTTTATGTGAAGATATTTTTTTTCTACCATGGGCTGCAAAGCACTCCAAATGTACACTTGCAGATTCTACAAAAAGAGTGTTTCCAAACTGCTCAATAAAAAGAGAGGTTCAACTCTGTGGGATGAATGCACACGTCACAAAGTGGTTTCTCAGAATTCTTCTGTCTAGTTTTCATGTGAAGCTATTTCCTTTTCCATCATAGGCCTCAAGGCAATCCAAATGTCCCCTGCAAACTCTACAAAAAGAGAGTTTCAAAACTTCTCAATCAAAAGAAACTTTTGATTTTGGGAGATGAATGCCCACATCACAAGAAGTTTCTCAGATTGCTTTTGTCTACATTTTATGTGAAGATATTTACTTTTCTACCATAGACCCCAAAGCGTAAAATCGTCCTCTTGCAGATATTACAAAAAGAGTTTTTCCAAACTTCTCAATCAAAGAAAGGTTCAACTCTGGGAGACAACACACACACCACAAAGAAGTTTCTCAGAATTCTTCTGTCTAGTTTTTATGT
>NT_187490.1:0-2656 GCF_000001405.40 Homo sapiens
GATGTGTGCATTCACCTCACATAGTTGATCCTTTCTTTTGATTAGAGGAGGCTTGAAGCACTCTTTTTCCTTTTTTATTTCATTTTTTATTATTTTTTTATTTTTTTTTATTTTTTTATTATTATACTTTAAGTTTTAGGGTACATGTGCACAATGTGCATGTTAGTTACATATGTAGCACTCTATTGATAGAACCCAGAAGTGGATATTTGGAGGACTTTGAGGCCTATTTTGGAAAAGAAATATCATCACCTAAAAACTACACAGAAATATTCTGAGATACTTCTTTGTTATGTGTGCATTAAACTCACAGAACTGAAGGTATGTTTTGGTTGAGCAGTTTGGAGTCTCTCTTTTTGGACAATCTGAAAGTGGACATTTGGAGCGCTTTGAGGCCTACTGTGGAAAAGCAAATATCTTCACATAAAAACTACACAGAAGCATTCTGAGGAACTTCTCTGTGATGTGTGCATTCAACTCACAGAGTCTAACCTATCTTTTGATTGAGCAGTTTTGAATCTCTCTTTTTGAAGAATCTGCAAGTGGATATTTTGAGCCCTATGCGGCCTATGGTGGAAAAAGAAATATCTTCAAATAAAAACTAAACAGAAGCATTCTGAGAAACTTCTTTGTGATATTTGCATTCATCTCACAGCGTTGAACGTATCTTATGATTGAGCAGTTTTGTAACACTCTTTTTGTAGAATCTGCAAGTGGATGTTTGGAGTGCCTTGAGGCCTATTGTGGAAAAGGAAATATCTTCACATAAAAACTACATGGAAGCATTCTGAGAAACTTCTTTGTGATGTGTGCAATCATCTCACAGAGTTGATCTTTTCTTTTGATTGAACAGTTTTGAAACACTGTTTCTGTAAAATCTGCAAGTGGATATTTGGAGCGCTTTGAGGCCTACTGTGGAAAAGCAAATATATTCACATGAAAACTACACAGAAGCATTCTGAGAAACTTCGATGTGAGAGGTGCATTCAACTCACAGAGTCGAACCTATCTTTTGATTGAGCAGTTTTGAATCTCCCTTTTGGCAGAATCTGCAAGTGGGTATTAGTAGAGCTTTGAGGCCTACTGTGGAAAATGAAATATCTTCACACAAAAACCACACAGAAGAATTCTGAGAAGCTTCTTTGTGATGTGTGCATTCAACTCAGATAGTGGAACCTATCTTTTGATTGGGCTGTTTTGAATCTCTCTTTTTGTAGTATCTGCAAGTGGATATTTGGAGCCCTTTGTGGCCTATGGAGGAAAAGGAAATATCTTCAAATAAAAACTACAGAAAAGCATTCTGAGAAACTTCTTTGTGATGTGTGCATTCATCACACTGGATAGAACCTCTTATGATTGAGCAGTTTGGAAACACTCTTTTTATAGAATCTGCAAGTGTATATTTGGAGGGCTTTGAAGCCGTTTGTGGAAAAGGAAATATCTTCACATAAAACTACACAGAAGCATTCTGAGAAAGTTGTTTGTGATATGGGCACTCATCTCACAGAGTTGATCCTTTCTTTTGATTGAGCAGTTTTGAAACACTTTTTGAAGAATCTGGAAGTGGATGTTTGGAGGGCTTTGAGTCCTCTTTTGGAAAAGGAAATATCTTCACATAAAAACTACACAGAAGGATTCTGAGAAACTTCTTTGTTATGTGTGCATTCAACTCACAGTGTTGAACCCATGCTTTGAATGAGCAGTTTTTAATCTCTCTTTTTGGAGAATCTGCAAGTGGAAATTTGGAGAGCTTTGAGGCCTACTGTGGAAAAGCAAATATCTTCACATAAAAACTACACAGAAGCATTCGGAGAAACTTCTTTTTGATGTGTGCATTCATCTCACATAGTTGAAACTCTCTTTTATTTGAATAGTTTGGAAACACTCTTTTTGCAGTATCTGCAAGGGGACATTTGGCACACTTTGCTGCCAATGGTAGAAAAGGTAATATCTTCACATACATACTAGACGGAAGCATTCTGAGAAACTTCTTTGTGATGTGTGCGTTCATCTCACCGAGTTGAACCTCTCTTTTGATTGAGCAGTTTGGAAACACTCTTTTTGTAGAATCTGCTAGTGGACATTTGGAGCGCTCTGGAGCCTATGGTAGAAAAGGCAAAATCTTCAACTAAAATCTAGTAAGAAGGAATCTGAGAAACTTCTTTGTGCTGGGTACATTCATCTCACAGAGTTAAACCTTTCTCTTGATTGAGCAGTTTTGAACTCTCTTTTTGTAGAATATGCAAGTGGACATTTGGAGTGCTTTAAGGCCTAAGGTGGAAAAGGAAACGTCTTCGCATAAAAACTAGACAGAATAATTCGAGAAACTACTTTGTTATGTGTGCATTCATCTCACAGAGTTGAAACTTTCTTTTGATTGAACAGTTTGGAAGCACTGTTTTTGTAGAATCTGCAAGTGGACATTTGGAGCTCTTTGTGGCCTATGGCGGCAAAGGAAATATCTTCACATAAAATCTAGACAGAAGCAATCTGAGAAACTTCTTTGTGATGTGTGCATTCATCTCACAGAGATAAACCTTTCTTTAGATTGAGCAGTTTTGAAATTCTCTTTTTGTATAATCTGCAAGTGGATATTTTGACTGATTTGAGGCCTATGGTGGAAAAGGAAATATCTTCACATAAACATTAGACAGAA
>NT_187491.1:0-1650 GCF_000001405.40 Homo sapiens
GCACACATCACAAAGAAGTTTCTCAGAATGCTTCCATGTAGTTTTTATGTGAAGATATTTCCTTTTCCACAATAGGCCTCAAGGCACTCCAAACATCCACTTGCAGATTCTACAAAAAGAGTGTTACAAAACTGCTCAATCATAAGATACGTTCAACGCTGTGAGATGAATGCAAATATCACAAAGAAGTTTCTCAGAATGCTTCTGTTTAGTTTTTATTTGAAGATATTTCTTTTTCCACCATAGGCCGCATAGGGCTCAAAATATCCACTTGCAGATTCTTCAAAAAGAGAGATTCAAAACTGCTCAATCAAAAGATAGGTTGGACTCTGTGAGTTGAATGCACACATCACAGAGAAGTTCCTCAGAATGCTTCTGTGTAGTTTTTATGTGAAGATATTTGCTTTTCCACAGTAGGCCTCAAAGCGCTCCAAATGTCCACTTTCAGATTGTCCAAAAAGAGAGACTCCAAACTGCTCAACCAAAACATACCTTCAGTTCTGTGAGTTTAATGCACACATAACAAAGAAGTATCTCAGAATATTTCTGTGTAGTTTTTAGGTGATGATATTTCTTTTCCAAAATAGGCCTCAAAGTCCTCCAAATATCCACTTCTGGGTTCTATCAATAGAGTGCTACATATGTAACTAACATGCACATTGTGCACATGTACCCTAAAACTTAAAGTATAATAATAAAAAAATAAAAAAAAATAAAAAAATAATAAAAAATGAAATAAAAAAGGAAAAAGAGTGCTTCAAGCCTGCTCAATCAAAAGAAAGGATCAACTATGTGAGGTGAATGCACACATCAAAAAGAAGTTTCTCTGAATTCTTCTGAGTAGTTTTTATGTGAAGATATTTCCTTTTCCACATTAGGACTCAAAGCACTCCAAATAACCACTTGCAGATTCTACAAAAAGAATGTTTCCAGTCTGCTCAATCATAAGAAATGTTCAACTCTGTGAGATGAATGTGCACATCATGAAGTAGTTTCTCAAAATGCTTCTGTGTATTATTTATGTGAAGATATTTTCTTTTCCACAGTAGGCCTCAAAGTGCTCCAAATATCCACCTGTAGATTCTTCAAAAACAGTGTTTCAAAAGTGCTCAATAAAAAAAAGGTTCAACTCTGTGAGATGAATGCACACATCACAAAGTAGTTTCTCAGCATGTTTCTGTATAGTTTTTATGTGAAGATATTACCTTTTCCACAATAGACCTCAAGGCACTCCAAATATCCACCTGCAGATTCTACAAAAAAAGTGTTTCAAAACTACTCAATCATAAGATAGGTTCAACGCTGTGAGTTGAGTGCACATATCCCAAAGAAGTTTCTCAGAATGCTTCTGTCTAGTTTTTATGTGAAGACATTTCCTTTTCAGCTATAGGCCTCAAAGTGCTCCAAATGTCCACTTGCAGAATCTACAGCAAGAGAGATTCAAACTGCTCAATCAAAGCATAGGTTCAATTCTGTGAGTTGAATGCACACATCATGAAGAAATTTCTGAGAATGCTTCTGTGTAGGTTTTATTTGAAGATATTCCCTTTTCCACCACAGGGAGCAAAGAGCTCCAAATATCCACTTGCAGATTCTACAAAAAGAGAGATACTAAACTGCTCAATCAAAAGATAGGTCAACCCTGAAAGT
>NT_187492.1:0-1451 GCF_000001405.40 Homo sapiens
AAAACTAGACAGAAGCATTCTCAGAAGCGACTTTGTGATGTGTGCATTCTACTCCCATAGTTGAACCTTTCTTTTGATAGAGCAGTCTGGAAACACTCTTTTTGTCGAATCTGCAAATGGACTTTTGGAGCGCTTTGAAGGCTATGGTGGAAAAGGAAATATCTTCACATAAAAACTAGACGGAAGCATTCTCAGAAACTTCTTTGTGTTGTGTTCATTCAACTCACATAGTTGAACTTTACTTTTGATAGAGCAGTTTGGAAGCCCTTTTTTATTAAGTCTGCAGGAGGATATTTGGAGCTCTTTGAATCCTTCGTTGGAAACGGGAATAGCTTCATATAAATACTAGAAAGAAGCATTCTCAGAAACCACTTTGTGATGTGTGCATTCAACTCACACAGTTGAACCTTCCTTTTGATAGAGCAGTTTGGAAACACTCTTTTTGTAGAATGTGCATGTAGATATTTGTAGCGAATAGAAGCCTTCGTTTGAAATAGGAATATCTTCACCTAAAAACTAGATGGAAGCATTGTCAGAAAGTCCTTTGTGATGTGTGCATTCAACTCACAGAACTGAACCTTCCTTCAGATAGAGAAGTTTTGAAACACTCTTTTTGTAGAATCTGCATTTACATCTTTGGAGCGCTTTGAAGTCTTCGTTGGAAACGCAAATACCTTCACATAAAAAATAGACGGAGCCATTCTCAGAAAATTATTTGTGATGTGTGCATTCAACTCACAGAGTTGAACCATCTTTTTGATAGAGCAGTTTTGAAACAGTCTTTTTGTAGAATCTGGAGGCGCATATTTAGAGCGCTTTGAAGCCTTCCTTGGAAATGGGATTATCTTCACATAAAAACTAGACAGCTTTCTACATATGGCTAGTCAGTTTTCCCAGCACCATTTATTAAAGAGGGAATCCTTTCCCCATTGCTTGTTTTTCTCAGGTTTGTCAAAGATCAGATAGTTGTAGATATGCGGCGTTATTTCTGAGGGCTCTGTTCTGTTCCGTTGATCTATATCTCTGTTTTGGTACCAGTACCATGCTGTTTTGGTTACTGGAACCTTGTAGTATAGTTTGAAGTCAGGTAGTGTGATGCCTCCAGCTTTGTTCTTTTGGCTTAGGATTGACTTGGTGATGCGGGCTCTTTTTTGGTTCCATATGAACTTTAAAGTAGCTTTTCCAATTCTGTGAAGAAAGGCATTGGTAGCTTGATGGGGATGGCACTGAATCTGCAAATTACCTTGGGCAGTATGGCCATTTTCACGATATTGATTCTTCCTACCCATGAGCGTGGGAATGTTCTTCCATTTGTTTGTATCCTCTTTTATTTCCTTGAGTAGTTGGTTTGTAGTTCTCTTTGAAAGAGGTCCTTCACATCCCTTTGTAGGTTGGATTCCTAGGTATTTTATTCTCTTTGAAGCAATTGTGAATGGGGAGTTCACTCATGA
>NT_187493.1:0-2378 GCF_000001405.40 Homo sapiens
CAAACAGTGTTTCAAAAGTGCTCAATAAAAAAAAGGTTCAACTCTGTGAGATGAATGCACACATCACAAAGTAGTTTCTCAGCATGTTTCTGTATAGTTTTTATGTGAAGATATTACCTTTTCCACAATAGACCTCAAGGCACTCCAAATATCCACCTGCAGATTCTACAAAAAAAGTGTTTCAAAACTACTCAATCATAAGATAGGTTCAACGCTGTGAGTTGAATGCACATATCCCAAAGAAGTTTCTCAGAATGCTTCTGTCTAGTTTTTATGTGAAGACATTTCCTTTTCAGCTATAGGCCTCAAAGTGCTCCAAATATCCACTTGCAGAATCTACAGCAAGAGAGATTCAAACTGCTCAATCAAAGCATAGGTTCAATTCTGTGAGTTGAATGCACACATCATGAAGAAATTTCTGAGAATGCTTCTGTGTAGGTTTTATTTGAAGATATTCCCTTTTCCACCACAGGGAGCAAAGAGCTCCAAATATCCACTTGCAGATTCTACAAAAAGAGAGATACTAAACTGCTCAATCAAAAGATAGGTTCAACCCTGAAAGTTGAATATACAAATCATAAAGAAGTTTCTCAGAATGCTTCTGTGTAGTTTTTATGTAAAGATAATTCCTTCTCCACAATAGGCCTCAAAGGACTCCAAATATCCACTTGAAGATTCAACAAAAAGTATTTCAAAACTGTTCAATCAAAAGAAATGTTCAATTCCGTGAGTTGAATACACACCACACAAAATTTTTTCAGAATTCTTCTGTGTAGTTTTTATGTGAAGATATTTCCTTTTCCACAATAGGTGTAAAAGCTCTCCTAACATCCACTTGCAGATTCTGCAAAAAGAGAGATTCCAAACTGCTCAATCAGAAGATAGGTTCAACTCTGTGAGTTGAATGCACACATCAAAAAGAAGTTTCTCAGAATGCTTCTGTGTAGTTTTTATGTGAACATATTTTGCACAGTAGGCCTCACAGCACTTTAAATATCCACTTGCAGATTCTACAAAAAGAGAGATTCAAAACTGTACAATAAAAAGATAGGTTCAACTCTGTGAGTTGACTGCACACATAACAAAGAAGTTTCTCAGAATGCTTCTGAGTAGTTTTTAATTGAAGGTATTTTCTTTTCCACAATAGACCTCAAATGGCTCCAATTATCCACTTGCAGATTGTACAAAAAAAGTGTTTCAAAACTGTTCAATCAAAAGAAAGATTCAACTCTGTGAATTGAATGCACACATGACAAAGAAGTTTCTCAGAATGTTTCTGTGTAGTTTTTATGTGAAGATATTTCCTTTTCCACAAAAGGCCTCAAAAGGCTCCAAATATCCACTTGCAGATTGTACGAAAAGTGTTTCAAAACTGCTCATCAAAAGAAAGGTTCAACTCTGTGAGATGAATGCACACATCACAACGAAGTTTCTCAGAATGCTTCTGTGTAGTATTTATCTGAAGTTATTGGCTTTTCCACGGTAGGCCTCAAAGTGCTCCAAATATCCACATGTAGATTCTAGAAAAAGAGTGTTTCGAAACTGCTCAACCGTAAGATAGGTTCAACCCTGTGAGATGAATGCATACATCACAAAGAAGTTTCTCAGAATGTTTCTGTGTAGTTTTTATTTGAAAATATTTCCTTTTCGACCACAAGCCACAAAGGGCTCCAAATATCCACTTGCACATTCTGCAAAAAGAGAGATTGAAAACTGCTCAATCAAAAGATAGGTTCACCTCTGTGAGTTGAATGCACATATCTCAAAGAAGTTTCTCAGAATGCTTCCGTGTAGTTTTTATTTGAAGATATTTCCATTTCCACCATAGGGTGCAATGAGCTCCAAATAACCACTAGCAGATTCTACAAAAAGAGAGATTCAAAACTGCTCAATCAAAAGATAGGTTCAACTCTGTGAGGTGAATGCACACATCATGAAGAAGTTTCTGAGAATGCTTCTGTGTAGTTTTTATTTGAAGATATTTCCTTTTCCACTACAGGGCACAAACGGCTCCAAATACCTACTTGCAGATTCTACAAACAGAGAGATTCTAAACTGCTCAATCAAAAGATAGGTTCAACTCTGTGAGTTGAATGCACACATCACAAAGAAGTTTCTCAGCATGCTTCTGAGTAGTTTTTATGTGAAGATATTTCCTTTTCCACAATAGGCCTCAAAGGGCTCCAATTATCCACTTGCAGATTGTACAAAAAGAGTGTTTCAAAACTGTTCAATCAAAAGAAAGATTCAACTCTGTGAATTGAATGCACACATCAAAAAGAAGTTTCTCAGAATGCTTCTGTGTAGTTTTTATATGAAGATATTTCCTTTTCCACAATAGGCCTCAAGGCACGCCAAATATCCACCTGCAGATTCTA
>NT_187494.1:0-2805 GCF_000001405.40 Homo sapiens
GAACCTTTCTTTTGATTGAGCAGTTTTGAAACACTCTTTTTGAAGAATCTGCAAGTGGATATTTGGAGCCTTTTGAGGCCCTGTTGTGGAAAAGGAAATATCTTCACATAAAAGCTACACAGAGGCATTCTGAGAAACTTCTTGTGATGTGTGCATTCAACTCACAGAGTTAAACCTATCTTTTGATTGAGCAGTGAAAAACTCTTTTTTTGTAGATTGTGCAAGTGTATATTTGGAGCCCTTTGAGTCCTATTGTGGAAGGGAAATATCTTCACATAAAAACTACTCAGAAACATTCTGAGAAACTTCTTTGTGATGTGTGCATTCAACTCACTGATTTGTACCTATCTTTTGATTAAGCAGTTTAGAATCTCTTTTTGTGTAGAATCTGCATTTGGTATTTTTACCCCTTTGCACCCTCTGGTGAAAAAAGAAATATCTTCAAATAAAAACTACCCAGAAGCATTCTCAGAAACTTCTTGGTTGTGTGTGCTTTCAACTCACAGAGTTGAAACTGTCTTTTGAGAGATCAGTTTTTAATCTCTCTTTTTGCAGAATCTGCAAGTGGATGTTTGGAGAGCTATGAGGCCTATTGTGGAAATGGAAATATCTCTACATGAAAACCACAGAGAAGCATTCTGAGAAGCTTCTTTGTGAGCTGTGCATTCAACTCACCGAGTTGAATTTAGCTTCTAAAAGAGCACTTTTGAATCTCTGTTTTTGTAGTATCTGCAATTGGATATTTGGAACCCTTTGCACCCTGTAGTGGAAAAGGAAATATCTTCAAATAAAAACTACACAGAAGCATTCTCAGAAACTTCTTCGTGATGTCTGCATTCAACACACACTGTTGAACCTATCTTTTGATTGAGCAGTTTTGAATCTCTCTTGTGGAAACTGCAAGTGGATATTTGGAGTGATGTGAGGCCTACTGTGGAAAACCAAATACGTTCACATAAAACCTACAAAGAATCATTCTGTGAAACTTCGTTGTGATGTGTGCATTTAACTCATAGAGTTGAACCTATGTTTCGTTTAAGCAGTTTGGAATCTCTCTTTTTGCAGAATCTGCAAATGGATGTTGGGAGAGCTTTGAGGCCTAGAGTGGAAAAGTAAATATCTTCACATGAAAACTACAGAGAAGCATTCTGAGAAACGTCTTCATGAGGTGTGCATTCAACTCACAGATCTGAAGTTATCTTCTCATTGAGCAGTTTTGAAACTCATCATTTTTAGAATCTGCAAGTTGATATTTGGAGCCCTTTGCGCCCATTGGTGGAAAAGGAAATATCTTCAAATAAAAACTACATAGAAACATTCTGAGAAGCTTCTTGGTGATGTGTGCCTTCATCTCACAGGGTTGAACCTATCTTATGATTGAGCAGTTTTGAAACACTCTTTTTGCAGAATCTGCAAGTGGATATTTGGAGCCCTTTGCCGCCTTTGGTGTAAAAGGAAATATCTTCAAATAAAAACTACTGAGAAGCATTCTGAGAAACTTCTTTGTGATGTGTGCATTCACCTCACAGAGTTGAACCTATCTTTTGATTGAGCAGTTTAGAATCTCTTTTTCTAGAATCTGCAAGTGGATATTTGTAGCGCTGTGAGGCCTACTGGGTAAAATCAAATGTGTTCACAGAAAAACTACACAGCGTTCTCAGAAACGTCTTTGTGATGTGTGGATTCAACTCACAGAGTTGAACCTATCTTTTGATAGAGCAGATTTGAATCTCTCTTTTTGCAGAATCTGCAATTGGATGTTTGGAGAGCTTTTATGCCTCTTGTGGAAAAGGAAATATCTTCACATAAAAACTACACAGAAGCACTTTGAGAAACTTCTTTGAGAGGTGTGCATTCAATTCATAGAGTTGAACTTATCTTGTCAGTTAG
The DNA here is from genome assembly GCF_000001405.40 of Homo sapiens. NCBI lineage: Eukaryota > Metazoa > Chordata > Mammalia > Primates > Hominidae > Homo > Homo sapiens. The sequence goes on from NT_187494.1 coordinate 1,891, forward strand.
CAGTATTCCATCTCTCTTTGTGTAGATTCTGTAAGTGGATATTTGGAGCCCTTTGCACCCTGTGGTGGAAAAGAAATTATCTTCAAATAAAAACTACACAGAAGCATTGAGAGAAACTCCTTTGTGATGTATGCATTCAACTCACAGAGTTGAACATATATTTTCAATGAGCAGTTTTGAATCTCTCTTTTTGTAGAATCTGCATCTGGTTATTTGGAGCCCTTTGAGGCCTACTGTGGAAAAGCAAATATTTTCAAATAAAAACTACACAGAAGCATTCAGAGAAACTTCTTTGTGATGTATGCATAGAACTTACAGAGTTGAACCTATCTTTTGATTGAGCAGTTTTGAATCTCTCTTTTTGCAGAATCTGCAGGTGGATATTTGGAGCTCTTTGATGGATACTGTGGAAAAGCAAATATCTTCAAATAAAAACTACACAGTAGCATTGTGTGAAACTTCTTGGGGATGTGTGCGTTCATCTCACAGAGTTGAAACTATATTTTGATTAGGCAGTTTTGAATCTGTCTCTTTGCAGAATCTGCAAGTGCATATTAGGAGCCCTTTGCGGTCTATGGTGGAAAAGGAAATATCTTCAAATAAAAACTACACAGAAGAATTATCAGAAACTTCTTCATGATGTGTGCATTCAACTCACAGAGTTGAACCTATGCTTTGATTCAGCAGTTTTGAATCTCTCTTTTTGGAGAATCTGCAAGTGGGCATTTAGAGCTCTTTGAGGCCTACTGTGGAAAAGCAAATATTTTCACATAAAAACTACAAAGAAGCATTCTGAGGAACTTCTTTTTGATGTGTGCATTCAACTCACAGAGTTGAATCTATACTTTGATTGAGCAGTTTAGAATCTCTCTTTTTAGAGATCTCCAAGTGGACATTTGGAGCACTTTGATGCCT
>NT_187495.1:0-7992 GCF_000001405.40 Homo sapiens
AAGGATATATCTTCCCATAAAAACTAAACAGAAGCATTCTAAGAAACTTGTTCACGATATGTGTACTCAACTAAGAGAGTTGAACGTTTCTTTTGATAGAGCAGTTTTGAAACACTCTTTTTGTAGAATCTGCAAGTGGATATTTGGATAGGTTTGAGGATTTCGTTGGCAATGGGTATATCTTCATATAAAATCTAGACAGTTTGATTCTGAGAAACATCTTTGTGATGTTTGCATTCAAGTCAGTGACTTGAACATTCCCTTTCACAGAGCAGGTTTGAAACACTCTTTTTGTAGTATCTGGGAGTGGACATTTTGTGCGCTTTGAGTCCTATGGAGAGAAAGGGAATATCTTCCCATGAAAACTAGACACAAGCATTCTCAGAAACTGGTTTGTGATGTGTGTACTCAACTAACAGAGTTGAACCTTTCTTTTGATAGAGCAGCATTGAAACAATCCTTTGTAGAATCTACAAGTGGATATTTTTATAGCTTTGAGGATTTCGTTGGAAACGGGAATAACTTCATAAAAAGTAGACAGAGGCATTCTCAGAAACTTCTTTGTGATGTTTGCGTTGACGTCACGGAGTTGAACTTTCCCTTTCATAGAGCAGGTTTGAAAAACTCTTTTTCTAGTGTCTGGAAGTGGACATTTTATGCACCTTGTGGCCTATGGTGAAAAAATGAATTCTCTTCCCATAAAAACTAGACAGAAGCATTCTCAGAAACTTGTTTGTGATGTGTGTACTCCACTGACAGAGTTGATCCTTTCTTTTGATAGAGCAGTGTTGAAACACTCTTTTTGTAGGATCTGCAAGTGGATATTTGGATAGCTTTGTGTATTTCGTTGGAAACGGGTATATCTTCAGATAAAAAGTAGACAGAAGCATTCTCAGAAACTTCTTTGTGATGTTTGCATTCAAGTCACAGAGTTGAACATTCATTTTCATAGAGTAGGTTTGAAACACTCTTTTTGTAGTAGCTGGAATTGGACTTTTGGAGCGCTTTTAGGCCTATGGTGAGAAAGGAAATATCTTCCCATAAAAACTAGACAGAAGCATTCTCAGAAACTTGTTTGTGATGTGTGTACTCAACTAACAGAGTTGAACCTTTCTTTTGATTGAGCAGTTTTGAAACACTCTTTTTGTAGAATTTGCAAGTGGATATCTGGACAGCTTTTAGGCCTTCCCTGGTAACCGGTGTATCTTCACATAAACACTAGACAGAAATATCCTCAGAAACGTGGTTGTGATGCTTGCATTCAACTCACAGAGTTGAACATTTCTTTTGATAGAGCAATTTTGACACACTCTTTTTGTATTACCTGGAAGTGGACACTTGGAGCGCTTTGAGGCCTATGGTGAAAAAGGAAATATCTTCCCATAAAAACTAGACAGAAGTATTCACAGAAAATATTTTGTGATGTGTGTACTCAACTCACAGATTTGAACTTTTCTTTTGGTAGAGCAGTTTTGAATGACTCTTTCTGTAGAGTCTGCAAGTGGATAGTTAGCTAGCTTTGAGGATTTCACTGGAAACGGGAATATCTTCACATAAAAACTAGACAGAAGCATTCTCTGAAACTTCATTGTGATGTGTGTACTCAACTCACAGAGTTGAACTTTTCTTCTCAAAGACCAGATTTGAAACCCTCTTTTTGTAGAGTCTGCAAGTGCATATTTGGATAGCTTTGATGATTTTGCTGTAATCGGAAATGTCTTCACATAAACACTAGACAGAAGCATTCTCTGAAACTACTTTGTGGTGTGGGTACTCAACTCACAGAGTTGAACTTTCCTTCTCATAAATCAGATTGGAATCCCTCTTTTTGTGGACTCTGCAAGTGCATATTTGGATAGCTTTGAGGATTTCGTTGGAAACGGGAATATCTTCCCATAAAAACTAGAAAGAAGTATTCTCAGCAACTTGTTTGTGATGTGTGTACTCAACTAACAGAGTTGAACCTTTATTTTCATAAAGCAGTTTTGAAACACTCTTTTTGTGGAATCTGCAGGTGGATATTTGGATAGCTTTGAGGATTTCATTGGAAACGGGAATATCTTCATATAAAAAGTAGACAGAAGCATTCTCAGAAAGTTCTTTGTGATTTCTGCATTCAAGTCACAGTGTTGAACATTCCCTTTCATAGAGCAGTTTTCAACACTCTTTTTGTAGTATCTGGAAGTGGACATTTATAGCGCTTTGTGGCCTATGGTGAAAAAGGAAATATCTTCCCATAAAAACTAGACAGAAGCATTCTCAGAAACTTGTTTGTGATGTGTGTACTCAACTAACACAGTTGAACCTTTCTTTTGATAGAGCAGTTTTGAAACACTGTTTTTGTAGAATGTGCAAGTGGATATTTGGATAGCTTTGAGGATTTCATTGGCAACAGGAATATCTTCCCATAAAAAGTAGACAGAAGCATTCTCAGAAACTTCTTTGTGATGCTTGCAGTCAACTCAGAGTTGAACATTCCTTTTCATACAGCAGTTTTGAAACACACTTTTTGTAGTATCTGGAAGTGGACATTTGCTGCGCTTTGAGGCCAATGGTGAAAAAGGAAATATCTTCACCTGAAAACTAGACAGAGGCATGATCAGAAACTTATTTCTGCTGTGTGTACTCAACTCATAGAGTTGAAGCTTTCTTTAGATACAGCAGTTTTGTAACACTCTTTTTATAGAATCTGCAAGTGTATATATGGATAGCTTTGATTCTTTCATTGGAAACGGAAATATGTTCAAGTAACAACTAGACAGAAGCATTCTCAGAAACTTCTTTGTGATGATTGCATTCAACCCACAAAATTGAAAATTCCTTTTCATAGAACAGTTTTGAAACACTCTTTTTGTAGAATGTGTAAGTGGAAACTTGGAGTGCTTTGAGGTCTCTGGTGAAAAAGGAAATATCTTCCCACAAAAACTAGACAGAAGAATTCTCAGAAAGTACTTTGTGATGTGTGTACTCAACTCACAGAGTTGAACTTTTCTTTTGAAAGAGAACTTTTGAAACACTCTTTTCGTAGACTCTGCAAGTGGATAATTAGCCTGCTTTGTGGCCTTCGTTGGAAACGGGAATATCTTCATGTAAAAACTAGACGGAAGCATTTTCAGGAACTTCTTTGTGATGTTTGCATTCAACTCACAGAGTTGAACATTCCCTTTCATACAGCAGTTTTGAAACACTCTTTTGGTAGTATCTGGAAATGGACATTTGGAGCGCTTTGAGGCCTATGGTGAAAAAGGAAATATCCTCACATAAAAACTAGACAGAAGCATTCTCAGAAACTTCTTTGTGATGTGTGTAGTCAACTCACAGAGTTGAACCTTTCTTTTGATAAAGCAGTTTTGAAACACTCTTTTTGTAGGATCTGCAAATGGTTATTTGAGTAGCTTTGAGGCTTTCTTTCGAAATGGGAATATCTTCACATAAAAACTAGACAGAAGCATTCTCAGAAACTTCTTTATGAAGTTTGCATTCAACTCACAGAGTTGAACATTCCCTTTCATAGAGCAGTTTTTAAACACTCTTTTTCTAGGATCTGTAATTGGAAATATGGAGCGCTTTTAGGCCTAAGGTGAAAAAGGAAATATCTTCCCATAAAAACTAGACAGAAGAATTCTCAGTTACCACTTTGTGATGTGTGTACTCAACTCACAGACTTGAACTTTTCTCTTGAAAGAGAAGTTTTGAAACACTCTTTTCATAGAATCTGCAAGTGGATATTTACCCTGCTTTGAGACCTTTGTTGAAAACGGGAAAATCTTCACATAAAAACTAGTCAGAAACATTCTCAGAAACTTCGTTGTGATGTGTGCATTCAACTCATAGAGTTGAACCTTTCTTTTGATAGAGCAGTTCTGAAACACTCTTTTTGTAGTATCTGGAAGTGCACATTTGGAGTGCTTCGAGGCCTGCGGTGAAAGAGGAAATATCCTCACATAAAAACTAGACAGAAGCATTCTCTGAAACTTCTTTGTGATGTGTGTAGTCAACTCACAGAGCTGAACCTTTCTTTTGATACAGCAGTTTGTAACACTCGTTTTGTAGAATCTGCAGGTGGTTATTTGGATAGCTTTGAGGCTTTCATTGGGAACGGGAATATCTTCACATAAAAACTAGACAGAAGCATTCTCAGAAACTTCTTTATGAAGTTTGCATTCAACTCACAGAGTTGAACATTCCTTTCATTGAGCAATTTTGAAACACTCTTTTTGCAGAATCTGTAAGTGGAAACTTGGAGCGCTTTGAGGCCTATGGTGAAAAAGGAAATATCTTCCCATAAAAACTAGACAGAAGTATTCTCAGAAACTACTTTGTTATGTGTGTACTCAACTCACGGAGTTGAAATTTTCTTTTGAAAGAGAAGTTTTGAAACACTCTTTTCTTAGAATCTGCAAGTGGATATTTAGCCTGCTTTGATTCCTTCGTTGGAAACGGGAATATCTTCACATAAAAACTAGACAGAAGCATTCTCAGGAAGTTTTTTTGTGATGTTTGCATTCAACTCACAGAGTTGAACATTCCCTTTCATAAAGCAGTTTTGAAACACTCTTTTGGTAGTATCTGGAAATGGGCATTTGGAGCGCTTTGAGGCCTAAGGTGAAAAAGGAAATATCCTCATATAAAAACTAGACAGAAGCATTCTCAGAAACTTCTTTGTGATGTGTGTAGTCAACTCACGGAGTTGAACCTTTCTTTTGATACAGCAGTTTTGAATCACTCTTTTTGTAGAATCTGCAAGTGGTTATTTGGATAGCTTTGAGTCTTTCTTTGGAAACGGGAATATCTTCATATAAAAACTAGACAGAAGCATTCTCAGAAACTTCTTTATGAAGTTTGCATTCAACTCACAGAGTTGAACATTTCTTTTCATAGAGCAGTTTTGAAACACTATTTTTGAAGGAGCACTTTTACGCCTATGGTGAAAAAGGAAATATCTTTGCATAAAAACTAGACAGAAGAATTCTCAGTAACTACTTTGTGATGTGTGTACTCAACTCACAGAGTTGAACTTTTCTTTTGAAAGAGAAGTTTTGAAACACTCTTTTCGTAGAATCTGCAAGTGGATGTTTAACCTGCTTTGAGGCCTTCCATGGAAACGGGAATATCTTCACATAAAAACTAGAGAGAAACATTCTCAGAAACTTCGTTGTGATGTGTGCATTCAACTCACCGAGTTGAACCTTTCTTTTGATAGAGCAGTTCTGAAACACTCTTTTTGTAGTATCTGGAAGTGGACATTAGGAGTGCTTCGAGGCCTATGGTGAAAAAGGAAATATCTTCACATAAAAACTAGACAGAAACATTCTCAGAAACTCCTTTGTGATGTGTGTAGTCAACTGACAGAAGGGAACCATTCTTTTGATACAGCAGTTTTGAAACACTCTTTTTGTAGAATCTGCAAGTGGATATTTGGATAGCTTTGAGGCTTTCTTTGGAAACAGGAATATCTTCACATAAAAACTAGACAGAAGCATTCTCAGAAACTTCTTTATGAAGTTTGCATTCAACTCACAGAGTTGAACATTCCCTTTCATAGAACAGTTTTGAAACACTCTTTTTGTAGAATCTGTAAGTGGAAACTTGGAGTGCTTTGAGGCCTATGGTGGAAAAGGAAATATCTTCCCACAAAAAGTAGACAGAAGAATTCTCCGTAACTACTTTGTGATGTGTGTACTCAACTCACAGAGTTGAACTTTTCTTTTGAAAGAGAAGTTTTGAAACACTCTTTTCGAAATTACGTCTCTGCCAACACTTTTAGTTTGCTTGTTGAATAACTACAAGGTTTCCAGTTAAATTAATAGAATACATTATACCCATAAAATCCTGAAATACTTGGTAATACACACAACAAAATATATTACAAGTAGAGAATATAATAAATGTATGACACTTTAGAAATTCATTGAGATAGGTTTAAACAGTGTTTACTTTTAATTGGTGTGCTTTCTTTCTTCTCACAGTAATAAGCTGTGGTTTAATCGGCTGAATACTCACTATGCAGTCCTTTGTAAAATTTTGGAGGTCTGCAGTAATGTGATTATTGAGCTTCAACAGAATACACAGAAGATCCCAGGAACCACAAACTAATCCATCCACAATGTAGTATCTAAAGTGTTTGCAAAAATAAAAACAAACAACAACAAAAAAAGAAAACTGAACAACTGACTTGTAGCAAAGCTATCAGGTTAGTGCAAAAGTAATTGTGGTTTTGCCATTGAAAGTAATGAAAGTAATTGAAAGAATAGGTATTCTAGTTGGACATGCTACAATGCATGCCACAACCATGGATCAATTATCTATTGAAAACCCAAACCAACTGAGGATCACTGCTGTGCACTATTCCCATCGTGTCATAATGTGGCAAACTAAAACTAATGTCCTGTAACAAGGGATTTTCAGAGGGAAAGCAAACATTGGTTAAAGCAAAGGAAACTGGCAATTTTCAGTTTGCTCAAATCAAACTATTCACATACTTTGTATGCTTCTCTACAAAATCCAGAACTTTTGATAGGATCACCCTTAGGTAAAACTCTAAAGTGAGCAGCTTCTGATCAATAGACCTCAACTCCATTTCCCTTCTGTATCACAGACCATGTGGGTGAATCCATCACATGACTTAATAAGATTTGGCCAGTTGGGAAATGTCTCTTTAAAGAATTAACACTCAGGCTGGGATCCAGAGCAAAGCACCTTAAACTTGAATGTGCATATGAACCACCTGGGGACCTTGTCAACATGCAGATTCTGATTCATTGTATCTAGGGTGGTGCCTGAGCTCTAGCAAGCTCCCAGGGATGCCTATGTGACTGCCTTGGACATCAGTTACAGTAGCAAGAATATAAGCAGATACCAGCCAACAAATCAGGAGTGAACGCATCACAGCCAAGGCAGCCCTGTACCAGGCCAGCTCAGGGATCTGAGAAAAGAGTAACTGGACTGAGGTCTATGAGTGCTTCCATGAGAGGTGAGGCTGAGAAGGTGGACAAGATCTAGGTCAATGTGTTAAATTCCTACTAAATGCAAGGCTAAGCTCTGCATAAACAGAAATAAATAAGGCAAACCTAGTCCTTGCATCTGTAGAGCTTGCAGACTAGCAGAATTATTTCGTGGGTAGAAAATCATTAAAGATTTTTAAACGAAGGAGAGACATGATCTAATTGAAATTTTTGAAAAACCTCTCTGGGTGTGCCATAGAGAAGGTATTGGAGAGGCAAAAAGTTGGGAAGAGGAGTATATGTTTGCACACCAGGTGAAAGATGCAGATGACAGAAGCGGATAATTTTAGCACATATTTTGAAGGTGAAATAACAGTACTTGGTTGCAAGTTGTGATGGTAGGGGGGGTGCAGGAAGAAGAAAGCATCAAGGATGATGATGCTTTCTGGAAGAAGCAAATGGGTAAATGGAGATAATTTTTATGAAGAATGGTAGGGCTGAAAAAGAAATAAACTAACAAAAGAGAAATGATTGAGGAAGTGGCATAGATGTGGGGGCAGAACTCAAGAGTTTTGAAATCTGATTTTAGGAATGCCTGTGAAAATCCAAGGGGAGATTTCAAGATGGCAGGTGCACATAATGTTTTGGAGCTTGGGAGGAGAGGTCTGTAGGAGTCATATGCATATAAATGGTATCTAAAGCCATAGTAATTAATAAAAGCTTGTCTAGAGTCTGTGTAGGCAGTCTGTGTCCAATCTTTTGGCTTCCCTGGCTGCATTCGAATAAGAAGAATTGTCTTGGGCCACACATAAAATATACTAATATTAACAATAGCTGATGAGCTAAAAAAAATCATAAAATATCTTATAATGCTTGAAGAATGTTTACAAATTTGTGTTGGGCTGCATTCAAAGCTGTCCTGGGCCACACATGGCCCACAGACCATGGGTTGGACAAGCCTAGTATGGAATAAGAACAGAAGAGGACCCAGGATTTAGGAACTTCAACATTTAAAGTTTGGGCAAAGAGGGAGAAGCTGATAAGAAAA
>NT_187496.1:0-7642 GCF_000001405.40 Homo sapiens
ATGGGTTTTTGGTGTAGATGTCCTTCTGGTTGTTAGTTTTCCTTCTAACAGACAGGACCCTCAGCTGCAGGTCTGTTGGAATACCTGCCGTGTGAGGTGTCAGTGTGCCCCTGCTGGGGGGTGCCTCCCAGTTAGGCTGCTCGGGGGTCAGGGGTCAGGGACCCACTTGAGGAGGCAGTCTGCCCGTTCTCAGATCTCCAGCTGCGTGCTGGGAGAACCACTGCTCTCTTCAAAGCTGTCAGACAGGGACATTTAAGTCTGCAGAGGTTACTGCTGTCTTTTTGTTTGTCTGTGCCCTGCCACCAGAGGTGGAGCCTACAGAGGCAGGCAGGCCTCCTTGAGCTGTGGTGGGCTCCACCCAGTTCGAGCTTCCTGGCTCCTTTGTTTACCTAAGCAAGCCTGGGCAATGGCGGGGGCCCCTCCCCCAGCCTCGTTGCCGCCTTGCAGTTTGATCTCAGACTGCTGTGCTAGCAATCAGTGAGATTCCGTGGGCGTAGGACCCTCTGAGCCAGGTGTGGGATATAGTCTCGTGGTGCGCCGTTTCTTAAGCCAGTCTGAAAAGCGCAATATTCGGGTGGGAGTGACCCGATTTTCCAGGTGCTTCCGTCACCCATTTCTTTGACTCGGAAAGGGAACTCCCTGACCCCTTGCGCTTCCCAGGTGAGGCAATGCCTCGCCCTGCTTCGGCTCGCGCACGGTGCGCACACACACTGGCCTGCGCCCACTGTCTGGCACTCCCTAGTGAGATGAACCTGGTACCTCAGATGGAAATGCAGAAATCACCCGTCTTCTGCATCGCTCACGCTGGGAGCTGTAGACCGGAGCTGTTCCTATTCGGCCATCTTGGCTCCTCCCCGAAAGAGAAGTTTTGAAACACTCTTTTCGTAGAATCTGTAAGTGGATATTTTGACTGCTTTGAGGCCTTCGTTGGAAACGGGAATATCTTCACATAAAAACTAGACAGAAGCATTCTCAGAAACTTCGTTGTGATGTGTGCATTCAACTCATAGAGTTGAACCTTTCTTTTGATAGAGCAGTTCTGAAACACTCTTTTTGTAGTATCTGGAAGTGCACATTTGGAGCGGTTCGAGGCCTGCCGTGAAAGAGGAAATATCTTCACATAAAAACTAGAGAGAAGCATTCTGAGAAACTCCTTTGTGATTTGTGTAGTCAACTCACAGAGTTGAACCTTTCTTTTGATACAGCAGTTTTGAAGCACTCTTTTTGTAGTATCTGCAAGTGGATATTTGGATAGATTTGAGGCTTTCATTGGAAATGGTAATATCTTCACATAAGAAAAAGACAGAAGCATTCTCAGAAGGTTCTTTATGAAGTTTGCGTTCAACTCACTGAATTGTACATTCCTTTTCATAGATCAGTTTTGAAACTTTCTTTTTGTAGAATCTGCAAGTAGACATTTGGAGTGATTCGAGACATATGGTGAAAAAGGAAATATCTTCCCATAAAAAGTAGACAGAAGCATTCTCAGAAACGACTTTTTGATGTGTGTACTCAACTCAGAGAATTAAACCTTTCCTTTGATAAAGCAGTTTGGAACCACTCTTCTTGTAGAATGTACAGGTGGATATTGGGACTGCATTGACGATTTCATTGGAAACGGAATATCTTCACATAAAACTAGACAGAAGCATTCTCAGAAACTTCTCTGTGATGTGTGCATTCAACACACTGAGTTGAAACTTTCTTTTGATAGAGCAGATTGGAAACACTCTTTTTGTAGAATTTGCAAGTGGATATCTGGACAGCTTTGAGGCCTTTCTTGGAAACGAGTGTATCTTCACAGAAACAAACACTAGAGAGAAGCATCCTCAGAAACTTGTTTGTGATGCTTGAATTCAACTCACAGAGTTGAACATTTCTTTTCATAGAGCAGTTTTGAAACACTCTTTTTGTAGTATCTGGAATTGGACATTTGGAGCACTTTGAGGTCTATGGTGAAAAAGGAAATATCTTCACATAAAAACTAGACAGAAGCATTCTCTGAAACTTCTTTGTGATGGGTGTACTCAACTCACTGGGTTGAACTTTTCTTCTCATAGATCAGATTTGAAACCCTCTTTTTGTAGAGTCTGCAAGTGCATATTTGAATAGGTTTGAGGATTTCGTTGGAAATGGGAATATCTTCCCATAAAAACTAGACAGAATCATTCTCAGAAACTTCTTTGTGATGCTTGCATTCAACTCACAGAGTTCAACATTCCTTTTCATAGAGCAGTTTTGAAACACTCTTCTTGAAGTATCTGGAATTGGAAATTTGGAGCACTTTGAGGCCAAAGGTGAAAAAGGAAATATCTTCACCTAAAAACTAGAGAGAAGCTTACTCAGAAACTTCTTTGTGCTGTCTGTACTCAACTCATAGAGTTGAACCTTTCTTTAGATACAGCATTTTTGTAACACACTTTTTATAGAATCTGCAAGTGGATATATGGATAGCTTTGAGGGTTCGTTGGAAACGGGAATATCTTCAAGTAACAACTAGACAGAAGCATTCTCAGAAACTTCTTTGTGATGCTTGCATTCAACCCACAAAATTGAACATTCCATTTCATAGAACAGTTTTGAAACACTCTTTTTGTAGAATTTGTAAGTGGAAACTTGGAGCGGTTTGAGGCCTGTGTTGAAAAAGGAAATATCTTCCCATAAAAACTAGACAGAAGAATTCTCAGAAACTACTTTGTGATGTGTGTACTCAACTCACAGATTTGAACCTTTCTTTTGATAGAGGAGTTTTCAAACACTCTTTTTGTAGAGTCTGCAAGTGGATATTTGGATAGCTTTGAGGATTTCATTGGAAACGGGAATATCTTCACATAAAAACTAGACAGAAACATTCTCAGGAACTTCTTTGTGATGTTTGCATTGTACTCACAGAGTTGAACATCTCCTTTCATACAGCAGTTTTGAAACATACTTTTTGTAATATCTGGAAGTGGACATTTGGAGCGCTTTGAGGCCTATGGTGAAAAAGGAAATATCCTCACATAACAACTAGACAGAAGCATTCTCTGAAACTTCTTTGTGATGTGTGTAGTCAACTCACAGAGCTGAACCTTCTTTCGATACAGCAGTTTGTAACACTCGTTTTGTAGAATCTGCAAGTGGTTATTTGGATAGCTTTGAGGCTTTCGTTGGAAACGGGAATATCTTCACATAAAAACTAGACAGAAGCATTCTCAGAAACTTCTTTATGACGTTTGCATTCAACTCACAGAGTTGAACATTCCTTTTCATAGATCAGTTTTGAAACACTCTTTTTGAAGGATCTGTAAGTGGAAACTTGGAGCACTTTTACCCCTATGGTGAAAAAGGAAATATCTTTGAATAATAACTAGACAGAAGAATTCTCAGTAACTACTTTGTGATGTGTGTACTCAACTCACAGGGTTGAACTTTTGTTTTGAAAGAGAAGTTTTGAAACACTCTTTTCGTAGAATCTGCAAGTGGATGTTTAACCTGCTCTGAGGCCTTCAACAGAAACGGGAATATCTTCACATAAAAACTAGACAGAAACATTCTCAGAAACTTCGTTGTGATGTGTGCATTCAACTCACCGAGTTTGAGACTTTCGTTGGAAACGGGAATATCTTCAAGTAACAACTAGACAGAAGCATTCTCAGAAATTCTTTGTGATGCTTGCATTCAACCCACAAAATTGAACTTTCCTTTTCATAGAGTAGTTTTGAAACACTCTTTTTGTAGAATGTGAAGTGGAAACTTGGAGCGCTTTGAGGCCTGTGGTGAAAAAGGAAATATCTTCCCATAAAATCTAGACAGAAGAATTCTCAGAAACTACTTTATGATGTGTGTACTCAACTCACAGATTTGACTTTTCTTTTGATAGAGCAGTTTTCAAACATTCTTTTTGTAGAGTCTGCAAGTGGATATTTGGCTAGCTTTGAGGATTTTGTTGGAAACGGGAATATCTTCACATAAAAACTAGACAGAAGCATTCTCTGAAACTTCTTTGTGTTGTTTGCATTCAACTCACAGAGTTGAACATTCCCTTTCATACAGCAGTTCTGAAACACTCATTTTGTAGTAGCTGGAAGTGGACATTTGGAGAGCTTTGAGGCCTATGGTGAAAAAGGTAGTATCCTCACATAAAAACTAGACAGAAGCATTCTGAGAAACTTTTTTGTGATGTGTGTAGTCAACTCACAAATTGAACCTTTCTTTTGATACAGCAGGTTTGAACACTCTTTGTATGATCTGCAAGTGGTTATTTGTATAGCTTTGAGGCTTTCATTGGAAACGGGAATATCTTCACATAAAAACTAGACAGAAGCATCTCAGAAACCTCTTTATGAGGTTTGCATTCAACTCACAGAGTGGAACATTCCGTTTCACAGAGCAGTTTTGAAACACTCTTTTTGTAGAATCTGTTTAAGTGGAAACTTGGAGCGCTTTGAGGTCTCTGGTGAAAAAGGAAATATCTTCCCATAAGAACTAGACAGAAGTATTCTCAGAAACTACTTTGTGATGTGTGTACTCAACTCATGGAGTTGAAATTTTCTTTTGAAAGAGAAGTTTTGAAACACTCTTTTCTTAGAATCTGCAAGTGGATATTTAGCCTGCTTTGATTCCTTCGTTGGAAACGGGAATATCTTCACATAAAAACTAGACAGAAGCATTCTCAGGAAGTTTTTTGTGATGTTTGCATTCAACTCACAGAGTTGAACATTCCCTTTCATACAGCAGTTTTGAAACACTCTTTTGGTAGTATCTGGAAATGGACATTTGGAGCGCTTTGAGGCCTATGGTGAAAAAGGAAATATCCTCACATAAAAACTAGACAGAAGCATTCTCAGAAACTTCTTTGTGATGTGTGTAGTCAACTCACAGAGTTGAACCTTTCTTTTGAAACAGTTGTTTTGAATCACTCTTTTTGTAGAATCTGCAAGTGGTTATTTGGATAGCTTTGAGGCTTTCTTTGGAAATGGGAATATCTTCACATAAAAACTAGACAGAAGCATTCTCAGAAACTTCTTTATGAAGTTTGCATTCAACTCACAGAGTTGAACATTCCCTTTCATAGAACAGTTTTGAAACACTCTTTTTGTAGAATCTGTAAGTGGAAACTTGGAGTGCTTTAAGGCCTATGGTGGAAAAGGAAATATCTTCCCATAAAAAGTAGACAGAAGAATTCTCAGTAACTACTTTGTGATGTGTGTACTCAACTCACAGAGTTGAACTTTTCTTTTGAAAGAGAAGCTTTGAAACACTCTTTTCGAAATTACATCTCTGCCAACCCTTTTAGTTTGTTTGTTGAATAACTACAAGGTTTCCAGTAAAATTAATAGAATACATTATACCCATAAAATCCTGAAATACTTGGCAATACACACAACAAAATATTTTACAAGTAGAGAATATAATAAATATATGACACTTTAGAAATTCATTGAGATAGGTTTAAACAGTGTTTACTTTTAATTGGTGTGCTTTCTTTCTTCTCACAGTAATAAGCTGTGGTTTAGTTTACCAGCTGAATACTCACTATGCAGTCCTTTGTAAAATTTTGGAGGTCCGCAGCAATGTGATTACTGAGCTTCAACAGAATACACAGAAGATCCCAGGAACCACAAACTAATCCATCCACTATGTAGTATCTAAAGTGTTTGCAAAAATAAAAACAAACAACAACAAAAAAAGAAAACCAAACAACTGACTTGTGGCAAAGCTATCAGGTTAGTGCAAAAGTAATTGTGGTTTTGCCATTGAAAGTAATGAAAGTAATTGAAAGAATAGGTGTTCTAGCTGGACATTCTACAATACATGCCACAACCATGGATCAATTATGTATTGAAAACCCAAACCAACTGAGGATCACTGCTGTGCACTATTCCCATCATGTCATAATGTAGCACACTAAAACTAAGGACCTGTAACAAGGGATTTTCAGAGGGAAAGCAAACATTTGTTAAAGCAAAGAAAACTGGCAATTTTCAATTTGCTCAAATCAAACTATTCACATACTTTGTATGCTTCTCTACAAAATCCAGAACTTTTGATAGGATCACCCTTAGGTAAAACTCTAAAGTGAGCAGCTTCTGATCAATAGGCCTCAACTCCTTTTCCCTTCTGTATCACAGACCATGTGGGTGAATCCATCACATGACTTAATAAGATTTGGCCAGTTGGGAAAGGTCTCTTTAAAGAACTAACACTCAGGCTGGGATCCAGAGCAAAGCACTGTAAACTTGAATGTGCATATGAACCACCTGGGGACCTTGTCAACATGCAGATTCTGATTCATTGTATCTAGGGTGGTGCCTGAGTTCTAGCAAGCTCCCAGGGATGCCTATGTGACTGTCTTGGACATCAGTTACAGTAGCAAGAATATAAGCAGATACCAGCCAACAAATCAGGAGTGAACGCATCATGGCTGAGGAAGCCCTGTACCAGGCCAGCTCAGGGATCTGAGAAAAGAGTAACTGGACTGAGGCCTATGAGTGCTTCCATGAGAGGTGAGGCTGAGAAGGTGGACAAGATCTAGGTCAATGTGTTAAATTCCTACTAAATGCAAGGCTAGGCTCTGCATAAACAGAAATAAATAAGGCAAACCTAGTCCTTGCATCTTTAGAGCTTGCAGACTAGCAGAATTATTTCGTGGGTAGAAAATCATTAAAGATTTTTAAACGAAGGAGAGACATGATCTAATTGAAATTTTTGAAGAACCTCTCTGGGTGTGCCATAGAGAAGGTATTGGAGAGGCAAAAAGTTGGAAAGAGGAGTATATGTTTGCACACCAGGTGAAAGATGCAGAGGACAGAAGCGGATAATTTTAGCACATATTTTGAAGGTGAAATAACAGTACTTGGTTGCAAGTTGTGATGGTAGGGGGGGTTGAAGGAAGAAGAAAGCATCAAGGATGATGATGCTTTCTGGAAGAAGCATATGGGTAAATGGAGATAATTTTTATGAAAAATGGTAAGGCTGAAAAAGAAATAAACTAACAAAAGAGAAATGATTGAGGAAGTGGCATAGATGTGGGGGCAGAACTCAAGAGTTTTGAAATCTGATTTTAGGAATGCCTGTGAAAATCCCAGGGGAGATTTCAAGATGGCAGGTGCACATAATGTTTTGGAGCTTGGGAGGAGAGGTCTGTAGGAGTCATATGCATATAAATGGTATCTAAAGCCATAGTAATTAATAAAACCTTGTCTAGAGTCTGTGTAGGCAGTCTGTGTCCAATCTTTTGGCTTCCCTGGCTGCATTCAAATAAGAAGAATTGTCTTGGGCCACACATAAAATATACTAATATTAACAATAGCTGATGAGCTAAACAAAATCATAAAATATCTTATAATGCTTGAAGAATGTTTACAAATTTGTGTTGGGCTGCATTCAAAGCTGTCCTGGGCCACACATGGCCCATAGACCATGGGTTGGACAAGCCTAGTATGGAATAAGAACAGAAGAGGACCCAGGATTTAGGAACTTCAACATTTAAAGTTTGGGCAAAGAGGAAGAAGCTGATAAGAAAATAGTTCAAGCTAGAGGAAGAGGTCAGGGTTCTACTCTACTGAATGTTCCTGAGACCCCATTGGACTTATATATTACATAATATGTACAATATATGTTACTTGGGTGATGGATACCCTAATAGCTTTGAACTGAC
>NT_187497.1:0-66942 GCF_000001405.40 Homo sapiens
GTCTCTAATAAAAATACAAAAAAATTAGCCAGGCGTGGGGGAGGGCTCCTGTAATCCCAGCTACTTAGGAGGCGGAGGCAGAGAATTGCTTGAACCTCGGAGGCAGAGATTTCAGTGAGCCGAGATTGTGCCACTGTGCTCCAGCCTGGACAACACAGTGAAACTCAGTCTCAAAATAAATAAATAAAAGTAAATAAAGTGTAGATTCAGTTTTCAGATGCGTATCTTTTTTTTGTCTAGATAATGTTTAACATATTCTCACATGACACATTTGCTGATAACAAGTTTCCTCAATTATTGTTTGTCCAAGGAATGTTTTATTTCTCATTTACTTTTGAAAGAAGATCTCACAGGGCACTTAAATCTAAGTTCATTTTTTTTTTCTCTCAGCATGCTTAATATTTCATTCCACTCTCTTTTTACTTTCATGGTTCTGAGATGTTGAATGCAATGCTTTTTTTATTTTTTTTTTTTTGAGACAGAGTCTTGCTCTGTCACCCAGGCTGGAGTGCAGTGGTGTAATCTCAGCTCACTGCAAGCTCTGCCTCCCGGATTCACACCATTCTCCTGCCTCAGCCTCTGGAGTAGTTAGGACTACAGGCTTCTGCCACCATGCCTGGCTAATTTTTTGTATTTTTAGTGGAGACGGGGTTTCACCATGTTAGCCAGGATGGTCTCGATCTCCTGACCTTGTGATCCACCCACCTTGGCCTCCCACAGTACTGGGATTAGAGGCATGAGCCACCAAGCCCGGCCTGAATGTGATTTTTGTTTGTCTGTAGGTTTCTTTGTTTCTCTTTCTTTGTTTCTTTGTTTCTCTATAGGTAGGATGTTGTCCACTCCACC
Source organism: Homo sapiens (assembly GCF_000001405.40). Lineage (NCBI taxonomy): Eukaryota > Metazoa > Chordata > Mammalia > Primates > Hominidae > Homo > Homo sapiens. The sequence continues at coordinate 847 of NT_187497.1, forward strand.
TTTGCTCTGTTGGAGCTGCTGTTTTGTACAGTTGGAGAATAACATGCCTAGCTGTAGGTTTTTAGCATGTGTCCTGTCTGGTGCACTCTGAGCTTCCGATCTTTGATTTTGTGTCTGACATTAACAGTGGAAGTTGTCAGACATGACTGTTGCAGATGTTTCTTCTACTTCTCTCTCTTCTCCTTCTAGTATTCTCATCACTCTATGTTACACCTTTTCTAGCTGTCCTACAGTTCTTGGATATTATGTTCCATTGTTTTCAGTTTTTAAAGTTTCTTTCAATGTTTCCAGAGCTCAGAGACTCTTTCCTTTGTTGTGTTCAGTCTACTAGTAAGCCAATCAAAGACATTCTTCAGGTCTGTTGCAGTATTTTTTTATCTCTACTGTTTCTTTTTTGTTCTTTCCTTGGACTTCTGTCTCTCTGCTTACATTGCCTATCTGTTCTTGAATGCTGTCTCCTTTGTTCATCAGAGCCCTTAGCATACTACTCAGAGATATTTTTAAAAATCCCTGTCTGATAATTCCAGCATCATAGCTGTGTCTTGTTCTGATGATCTGTCACTTCAAATTGTGTTTTTTGCCTTTTAGTATGCCTTGTGCTTTTTCTTTATTCCTAGATATGGGATACCAGGTAAAAGGAACTACTGTAACAGTGCATCCTGTAATGATGGGAAGCTCTGGAGGGGAGGGGAAGCTGTCTTAGTCCATCCACCAGCATAACTTAGAGCAAGTAATTTGTAAACAACAGAAATTTGTTGTTCAGTTTGGAGGCTATAAAGTCCAAAGTCAAGGTTCCAAGAGATTCAGTGTTTGATGAGACCCATTCCTCATAGATGGTGCAAGCTATATGTCCTCTCATGTTGGAATGGACAAAGAAGCTTCCTTTGGCCTCTTTCATAAGTGCACTAATCCCAATCAGGATGACTTTGCCATTACCTTTCAAAGGCCCCACCCCTTAATTCTAGTGCATTGGAGACTTGGTTTCAACAGGCACATTTTGCAGGGTGTCGAGCAGGGAACAAATGTTCAGACCATAGCAGAAGTGTTCTGGACTCTTACGATTGGGCCTCATTGTTTAAGTGAGTCTCTGCTTTTGGACTATGAACTTCACATGTCTTTCTCTGTTTTTGTCTTCCCCTTTAGGGATGACTGGAGTAGGCTGGAGTTGGGTACTTCCCTTCCAGAAGGTCATTTAGGATCTGATTATATGAGAGCAAGTTAGGCTGAGGTTCAGTAATTTCTCCTGAGGACAAGTCTTGTTAAGAACAGGGTGCTCTGGCATATTTTAAGATGGTTTTCCTTTTTCCTTCCCAAAGTTGGAAGCAGGAAGCCAGTTTTCTCAGGTATTTGCCACAGGAGCCTGGTGAAGCTCCAGGAGGTAAATTTTACAATATTATGCTCCTTCATAACTGGATATCCCTGGCGTTTTTACCTCCTTGAGTTCTCCATAATGGAACCTTCAGCAATTCACCAGTTATAGTTCAAGATTTTCTACTCCAGCACTGGTTCCTAAGGTGGTTTCAGTAGTGAGTCTCTGTTCATGTAAGCCATAAATTCCTATATTCACTTCTCTATCTCTCCAATCTTGGGGGCAGTGGCTTGCCCTATGTCCTCTCTTCACATTCAAATCCAAAAAGGATTGTAGATTTTTCAGTCTCTTCAGCTTTTATTTGTTTTATTAAAAAAATTTTTTAAGAGTTGGGGGTCTCACTATGTTGCCCAGGCTGGTCTCAAACTCCTAGACTCAAGGGATCCTCCTGCTTTGGCCTCCCAAAGTGCTAGGATTATAGGCATGAGCCACCACACCTGATCTTTTCAGCTTTTCATGTGTTGTTAAGATGGACTGATTACTTGCATTCTTTTTTTTTTTTCCTTTTTTTGAGATGGAGTCTCACTTTGTTGCTCAGGCTGGAGTGCAGTGGTGCAATCTCAACTCACTGCAATATCTGGCTCCCAGGTTCAAGTGATTCTCCCTGCCTCAGCCTCCTGAGTATCTGGGATTACAGGCACCCACCACCATGCTGGCTAACTTTTATATTATTATTATTTTATTTTTTAATTTTTTGAGGCAGAGCTCACTCTGTCATCCAGGCTGTAGTGCAGTGGCTTGATCTTGGCTCACTGCAACCTCCAACTCCCAGGTTCAAGCAATTCTTCTGCCTCAGCCTCCCAAGTAGCTGGTACTACTGGCAAACACAACCACACTTTTCTAATTTTTGTATTTATAGTAGAGATGGGGTTTTGCTATGTTGGCCAGGTGGGTCTCAAACTCCTGACTTCAGGTGATCCACCCAACTCAAGCTTCCAAAGTGCTGGGGTTACAGGTGTGAGCCTCCATGCCCAGACCTAATTTTTTTATTTTTAGTAGAGATGGGGGTTTGCCATGTTGACCAGGCTGGTCTTGAACTTCTGACTTCAGGTTATCTGCCCACCTTGGTCTCCCAAAGTGCTGGGATTACAGGCATGAGCCACTGCACCTGGCCACTTCTAAGCTTCTTACATGCAGAAATCAGAACCTGGAATCTGTTTCTATGACTTTTCTTCTTAATGCCTATGTGGACAATTAAAGGATTTTTCTTCTCAGGACTCTGAATATGATGAATTGTATTAGTAGACTTTCTAATATTGAGCTGTTCTTAATTTGTGAAATAAACTCAGAAAGTTCCTTCTTGGTCTTAACAGTTTATTTCTCTTTGTAAATATTAGGGATTCTGTGGATTCTGTACTTGTTCCTTTTTATCCTTTCATTCTCTTAGGTTCATTTGGTCTGATGGATTCAGGTACCATTGAAATTCTGATAGTTTCAAAATCTTTATCTCCAGCTTTGATATCTCTTGTGAACTCTGGAATTGTATTCCCAATTGCCAGTTGGACATCCCTACATATGGGACCTCAGATATTTCAAACATGATGTGTCCAAGTCTGTATCACTTCTGGCCATCCTATTGTTCTTTTATTTTTCCAAATTTCACATCACCAGTAACAAACTCACTGTGATCATGGCAGATAGCCTGGAAATAAAACTCCCCTTTTTACCCTCTGCACAGCAAACTGACATCAAATCCTGTTTCTACTTTTTTTCCTTTTAACTATTGCTTCCCTATTCTGTATTCTCACTGCTCCATCTTCTGATGTAGGAGGTCATCTGTCTTCCTCTTTTCCTCTCCTCTGACTCTTAAGCCCTTTCCTATTCTCTTTCTCATGAATGGCTGTTAAAATGCCAATATGGTCATGTAACTTTCTTGTACTTAATGAACCTCCTTATTTACACCATGTTTGTGAAGTGGCTGTATTCACCCTGGGTAGACACAGAATGTTTTTGGCATGTACAAAGAGAATTTTATGCTGCCTGTGTAGAGCTATTAATTTGTAAGTACACTCACCTTTTTGTATCTGTACTTTTAATATCTGTGTATGTAAACAAACTTGGATGCAAAATATTTGAAATAAAATCAGACGCTTGCATCTGTAGTGAACATATTCAGACTTTTTCTTGTCATTACTTCCTAAACAACACAACTATTTACATCCACATTGTATTTGGTCTTCTAAGTGTGAAAGGAAAATAAAGATTGGGACTCCAAACTCATTAAGCTAAAGGGAAAAATCAAGCTGGGAACTCACTCATGAAAACCTGCCTCCTCCTTTTGGTTCCTAAATAAGATGGCTACAAGATAAAAAGCTTTTTATCTTGTAGCCCCCCACTCATATTTTTCCCACAAGGAAATTTCTGGTGTACTTTAAGATCTTTAAAGTGTTTCTGTTAAAATTCATCATGGCAATGTAAATTCATAGCTTATCCTTTTTATTGTTTTTTTTGAGATGGAGTTTCACTATTGTCACCCAGGCTGGAGTGCAATGGCACAATCTCGGCTCACCGCAACCTCTGCCTCCCAGGTTCAAGTGATTCTCCTGCCTCAGCCTCCTGAGTAGCTGGGATTACAGGCATGCACCACCACACTTGGCTAATTTTGTATTTTTAGTAGAGATGGTGTTTCTCCATGTTGGTCAGGGTGGTCTCAAACTCCTGACCTCAGGTGATCCAGCCACCTCAGCCTCTTAGAGTGCTGGGATTACAGATGTGAGCTGCTGTGCCTGGTCTGATAGCTCATCTTTACAGTGCATAGGACAGAACTCAGAGTCATCCCTCTGCCCACCTGACACAAATGCATATCTGATTGTTCCCCTCCCTGTTTGTCTATGTTATGTATAAATGCAGATTCACTGAGACAAAGGCATGAATGACTGTATCAGTCTGTTCTCATACTGCTCTGAAGAAATACTCAAGACTGGGTCATTTATAAAGGAAAGAGGTTTAATTGACTCACAGCTCTGCATGACTGGGGAGGCCTCAGGAAACTTACAATAATGGCAGAGAGCACCTCTTCACGGGGGGCAGGAGAGACATTGAGTGCAAGCAGGGGAAAGGCCAGACACTTACAAAACCATCAGATCTCATGTGACTCATTATCATGAGAACAGCATAGAGGAAACTGCTTTGATGATCCAATTACTTCCACCCGGCCCCACCCTTGACACATGGGGATTATTACAATTTATGGTGAAATTTGGGTGGGGACACAGAGCCAAACCATATCAATGAATGTTTTCCCCCTACCCCAGTCTTACATGAAAACTGTATTTCTCAGTGTTTCACCCTTTCCCCTTTAAATTTGGAGCCCTCATAATCATTTTTAAAGAAAGGCATAGACTTGTCTCCTGGGTGTGCATCCTTAATGTTGGCAAATAAACCTCTTAAAATGATTGAGATTTGTCTCGGTCATGTTTCCTGATTGACCGAAGTGTTCCAGAGATGATATAAAGTACACTCATGCATGGCTTAATGACATGTGTATGTTCTGAGACATGCATTACTAAGCAACATTTTTGTTTTGTGAACATCATAAAGTGTGCTTACATAATCCTAGATGGTATATATGTTTATATTTTTTCTTATGAGAAATCATATGTTCTAACACCATCATTGAATATCAGTCACTTTCCCTACTTGATCTGCAGTGCTAGTATCAAGTCCCACATATCAAGTTTTATCAGGGGAACCAGCCCCCAATATTTCAACGTAGGTTCTTTCTATTTTCCTTAAGTGTTGGCTGGTCTGAGAAATAAAGGGTAAAAAGAAAGAAATTTTACAGCTTGGCCTCTGGGGGTGCCATCACATTGGACCATGATGGCGACCTTGAGCTGCAAAACCAGCCAGTTTTTATTAGGGATTTTGAAAGGGGAAGGGGTGTATGAACAGGGAGTAGGTCATAAGGATCACATGCTTCAAAGGGCCATAAAGATCACAAGGTGAAGGCAAAATTAGAACCACTGATGAGGGTCTGTGTCCCACTGTGCACACATTGTCTTGATAAACATCTTAACAGAAAACAAGGTTCAAGAGCAGAGACCAGTCTGACTAGAATTCACCAGGCTGGAATTTCCCAATCCTAGCAAGCCTGAGGGTACTGCAGGAGACCAGGGTGTATTTCAGTCCTTATTTCAACTGCATAAGACAGACACTCCCAGAGCAGCCGTCTATAGACCTAACCCTGGGAATGCATTCCTTTCCCAGGGTATTAATTATTAATATTACTTACTGGGAAAAGAATTCAGTGATATTCTCTTACTCACACGTCCATCTATAGGCTCTGTGCAAGAAGAAAAATATGGCTGTATTCTGTCTGACCCCGCAGGCCGTCAGACCTTATGGTTATCTTCCCTCATTCCCTGAAAATTGCTGTTATTTTGTTCTTTTTCAGGGTGCACTGATTTCATATTGTTCAAACAACCATGTTTTACAATCAGATTTGATATTGTTTGAACACACATTTTACAAACAATTTGTACAGTTAATGCAATCATCACACGGTCTTGAGGTGACATACATCCTCAGCTTACGAAGGTGATGGGATTAGATTAAAGTAAGACAGGGATAAGAAATCATAAAAGTATTAATTATAAAAGTATTAATAAATGTCCATGAAATCTTCCCAATTTATATTCTTCTGCCATGGTTCCCGCCAGTCCCTCCATTCGGGGTCTCTGACTTCCTGCAAGAAGGTTTCTATATGTGTTTATAATCTTAGGGGGCCATGGTAATATACATGGTTCATTATTGATTAAAAGGTCATTATGAGGCACATGACTGCATGTGGAAGGATAAGCATGGGTTATATGCAAATATACCATTGTATATAAGAATTGAGCTTCAGTGGTTTTTGGTATCTGTGGGTGTATTTTGGAGCTGATTTCCCATGGATACTGAGGAACAACTGTACTTTGAAAATGAAAGGTGCATACATTTTTGTCATTAAAATTAGGTCAAATATTTAAATGCAGAATCATTGTATAATCAGTTCCTTCAAGACTGCATCTGTCTGTCTCATCAAGGCCCAGGATGGTTTATCTAGATACATTGCAGTATGTCATTCCATTAACATGGTGTGTCTTCTTTGTGTCCTTGGGAATGGACTTCTGCTACACGTCATAGTTGTGAGATGGTGTGGTTCACATGGAAGTGCTAAACAACTTTGGTTTTTCAGTGAAGTGCAACCTCATAATACTGTTCATCACCAAGCCTGGCTAGTTTTTCTATTTTTTGTAAAGACAGGGTTTCACCATGTTGCTCAGTCTGGTCTTGAACTCATGAGCCCAAGTGATCCACCTGCCTCAACCTCCCAAAGTGCTGTAATTACAGGCATGAGCCACTGTTCCTGTCCTAACAAACCATTTGAACTACAGGTGAAGCGAAGTCTCTCTCTCTGATATTTGGTCTTCTATTTACAGCTCCTAAAATATCTAAATGTGCCCTCCCTCTCAGGGCACACAGCCCAATCCTATTTTCTCCCATATGATAGGAAAGAAAGAATCACATAACAAATGCCTAGTGATCTTCATTGTGAAGAGCACACGGTCAAAACATTTTTTAAAATCCTATTTCGAAGTCCAATTATGCAAAGAATTAATAAATAATGACACAAATTGATGAAAGAGTAGCTATCTTACTGAGTCCAGTGTAAGAACACAAATGGAATTCATAATGAGCCACAAAGGCATCTGAGTCCAGATCAAAATCTCAAAGTCTTGAGAAAAGGCCCAACTGGGAGCAAATTATGAAATCTGCATGAGTCTCTTAAGGACGATTTAGGGAAGGCTTGGCCTTTGGTCGTTATTATGAGACTGATATGGTTTGGCTGTGTCCTCATCCAAATCTCGAATTGTTGTTCCCATAATTCCCACGTATTGTGGGAAGGACCTAGTGAGAAGTAATTGAATCATGAGGACTGTTCTGTTCTTATGATAGTGAATAAGTCTCATGAGATCTGATGGTTGTATGGAGGGAAGTTCCCCTGCCCATGCTCTCTCTTGTCTGCTGCTGTGTATGACCTGACCTTTGCCTTCTGCCATGATTGTGAGGTCTCCCCAGCAACGTGGCACTGTGAGTCCATTAAACTTATTTTTCTTTATAAATCACCCAGGCTTGGGCATGTCCATATTAGCAGCATGAGAACAGACTAATACGGAGACTTATTATGAGTTTGACAGGAAGGTGCAGAAACAGAGTTCTGGAGTCAGATTATGGGTGACAGCCACATAATCTTTTTTATTCAAGAAAATTGAAAGATTTTATATATGAGTGGAACTTAGCTTCTGTTCAGTGTTGATGTGGGAAAAAGTGAGGTTAGATTTGTGAGCAGGAGCTGAATCATTAAAAGTCTTCAAGTCCTTGCTAAAGAGTGAGAACCTAAGTTTTAAGCTGTTGTTAAGTGCTTTTAAGTCCTTGAGGAACACAGTTACCTGTCTAGAGATGTTAGTCTGGAAGTGAACAAGATAACGGGAAGTAAGAGGAGTGCAGTCTGATGGAAACATGATGGAAAATGGAAATATTTCAGGTGAGAGAGAGTGAGGGTTTCACTGAGTCATAAAGTTGTGGAGAGGAAGCAGTGAGTAGAAGAATACTTGAGAAGTAGAATTAATAAAACTTTGTGACAGAACAGGTGATGGTTCTGGGAGAGAACTATATCTGGAACAGTGGATCTCAGAGTGCTCCATGAAAATAAGACTCTTTCTATCATAATACAGCTATGTTACTTGTCTTTTTCGCTTGTTTTTGTTCTCTGCTTTGGTGCAAATGCAGTAGTAAGTAAAACCGTAGCACAAAACAAGACAGTGGCTCCAAACAATAGTAGCAGTTCTATTATTTACAGTCACGTGGTTGCCTCAATAAGTAAACATGCCAATTTTATTTTCATGTTACTTAAGAATATCATTGATGAAGCAGTAAAAAATAAAATTTTCATTCAATCTAGATCCCCAAGTATGTCTTTTCAGTATTCTATTTGATAAAATGGTAAGAACTCATAGAGCACTTATTACTTAAAAATGAACTAAGTGTGACAGGGTGCAGTGGCTCACGCCTGTAATCCCAGCACTTTTGGAGCTCAAGAGTTTGCGACCATTTGGAGCAACATGGTGAAACCAAATCTCTACAAAAAAAATTAGCCAGGGGTGATGATGTAAGCCTGTAGTCTACTGTAGGGATGAGCCCTACAGGGTCTGTGGGTTTTCTTCACCTTGTGCAGAGATGAGAGATCGTAGAAATAAAGACACAAGACAAAGAGATAGAAGAAAAGACAGTTGGGCCCGGGAGACCACTACCACCAAGATGTGGAGACTGGTAGTGGCCCCGAATGCCTGGCCGCACTGTTGTTTATTGGATACAAGGCAAGGGGGCAGGGTAAGGAGTGTGAGCCATCTCCAATGATAGGTAAGGTTACGTGAGTCTCGTGTCCACCAGTCGGGGGACCTTCCTTGTTTGGCAGCCGAGGCGGAGAGAGAGAGAGGACAGCTTACATCATTATTTCTACTATGCATTTCAAAGACTTTTAGTACTTTCACTAATTCCGCTACTGCTATCTAGAAGGCCGAGCCAGGTGCAGAGGGCGGAATATGAAAGCAGACCAGGAGCCTGACCGCTGAAGCACAGCATCACAGGGAGACAGGCCTCCGGGTAGCTGCGGGCGAGCTTGACTGATGTCGCCTTCCACAAGAGGTGGTGGAGCAGAGTCTTCTCTAACTACCCCGGGGAAAGGGAGACTCGCTTTCCCGGTCTGCTAAGTAACCGGTGACGTCCCAGGCGCTGGAGTTACCGCTAGACCAGGGAGCCCTCTGGTGGCCGTGTCTGGTCGCGACAGAGGGCTCGTAATCTTGTCTTCTGGTCACTTCTCACAATGTCCCTTCAGCTCCTATCTCTGTATGGCCTGGTTTTTCCTAGGTTATAGTTGTAGAACAGAGATTATTATAATATTGGAATAAAGAGTAATACTGCAAACTAATGATTATTAATATTCACATATCATCATCTATATTCTATTTCTAGTACAAGTATTCTTCTATATATTTTCTTTATTACACTGGAACAGCTCATACCCTCAGTCTCTTGCCTTGGCACCTGGGTGGCTTGCTGCCCAGAGTCTACTACTGGAGAGGCTGAGGAGGGAGGATCATTTGGCCCTGGGAGGCAGAGGTTGCAGTGAGCTATGATTGCACCACTGCTCTCCAGCCTGGGTAACAGAGCAAGACCTTCTCTGAAAAAAAAAAAAAAAAGTGATATTGTCTTAAAAAAAAAACTGAGCTGTTACTGAAAATGTAAAAAGTTTTCAAGTGAAAATTAAAATTTGGAAAACGTATCTGCATTCTGGAACATGATAATTTTTCAAAACTTATGGATTTTTCTAAGGAGATCAAGGGTAATATTACTGAATTTCAAAATATTTTATAATAAAGTGTATCAATATTTGGAACATCTGCATTATTTGATGAACCAATATTTTCCCAATGGCCATGCCAATATGATAAAAATCATGATTTGTAAAAGACCCATTAACATTGAAAATAGACCTATAGGTTTTAATGTGATATAGAAGAAAAAGCATATGATGTGGTGTCATGCCTCCCATTGCAATAACCTGAATAAAGCATTTGTTTGGAGATCAAAGAAGAAGAACAATATTTGGCCAAAAATACTTATTTTTTTTTTTTGTGGGCGGATGGAGTTTCACTCTGTCACCAAGCTGGACACAATCTTGGCTCACTGCAACCTCCACCTCCTGGGTTCAAGCAATTCTCCTGCCTCTGCCTCCCAAATAGCTGGGATTACAGGCACTCACCACCACGTTGGCTAATTTTTGTATTTTTAGTAGAGACGGGGTTTCACCGTGTTGGCCAGGCTGGTCTCGAACTCCTGATCTCAAGTGATCCGCCTGCCTCAGCCACTGAAAGTGCTGGGATTACAGGCGTGTGCCACCACACCTCGTCCAAAAATTATTTTAAATTATTCTTCCTTTCTACAACTTCATGTCTGTGTGGGGCACTATTTTCTTCACACACTTAGCCAAAACAACATATTGGAACAGATTGAATTGAGAAGCAGATATGAGTATCAATCTGTCTTCAGTTAAGCCAAACATTTTGCAAAAATGTAAAAACATTGCAACTCTTCAAACTATTTGAGGACTTGTTTTATTTTAAAATACTATTTTGTTAGCATGAACTGAATTTATTATTTTTAAGCATATTACGAATTTTTTTTTGAAGTGGAATCTTGCTCTGTCTCCAGGCTGGAGTGCAGTGGCGCGATCTTGCCTCACACAACCTCCACCTCATGGTTTCAAGCGATTCTCCGGCCTCAGCCTCCCGAGTAGCTGGGACTACAGGGGCCCACCACCATGCCCACCTGTTTTTTTTTGTTTTTTTTGCATTTTTAGTGCAGATGGGGTTTCACCCTGTTGGCCAGGATGGTCTTGATCTCTTGACCTTGTGATCCACCTGCCTCGGCCTCCCCAAGTGCTGAGATTACAGATGTGAGCCACTGCACCCGGCCAATATTTACTAATTTAGAAGTCCTAATTTATGATAATCATTAATAGAAATAATACATAGGAATAAAGTTGGGTGAGAGAGAAAGGTTTGGAAGTTGTCAATTTTTTTTCTTTTAACTTATTTAAAATTCAAGTGTCATGTCTACAAAGTGGCTGCAAAACTCATAGAGACCTTATTCCTCCACACTCCTTTAGTTTCATTTTTTCCTTCTATCATAGGGTTTATCACTATTATTTTTAATCTTGTCATCCCAACTAAATTATGAGGTCCTGCAGGAAAGAAAGTTATGTGCTTTATTTTTGACTTATTTGTACTTAGCACCATGAATTGCTTAGGGATTTTTCTTTAAAATAAAAATTAAATAACATCAGGCCAGGCGTGGGGGCTCACGCCTGTAATCCCAGCACTTTGGGAGGCTGAGATGGGCAGATTACCTGAGGTCAGGAGAGCGAGAACAGCCTGGCCAACATTGCGAAACCCCGTCTCTACTGAAAATACCAAATTAGCCGGGCGCGGTGGCACTTGCCTGTAATCCCAGCTACTCAAGACACTAAGACAGGAGAATCGCTTAAACGTGGGAGGCAGAGTGTGGAGTGAGCTGAGATCGTGCCACTGCAATCCAGCCTGGGTAACAGAGCAAGACTCCATCTCAAAAATAAATAAATAAATAAACAAAAACATCGGTTAGCAATGTTGTCATTTAGACATATTTAGGCATTAATTCTATCACTTACCAGACCTTAATATTTTAAATTGTTGATCATGGAATTTGTTGATTTGAACCTGAAAAACCTTAATTATTTTCAAGTAGTTTTTCCTTCAATTAAATTATATTAACTTTATATTTATTTGAAATAATTTATTTTCATGTTTTTATTAAACTTTCATCAATGTTTTGTGCTTTTATAACCATGTGAAATATTTATTTGTTTTTGAAATATTGATTTTAAAAACAATGCAATTAGTTGATATTTATTATTGAAAAGTACTAGAATTTCACAATCTTAATAAATATTGATAATTGTTGTCATTTAGAAAAATAATACTGGTGTAGGAATGAAGAGAGAAGAAGGAGTAAGAAAGGCGATTGCTCTTTATTTTGAGTATTTTCTTTTCTTTTTTTTCTTTTTAGTAAAAATGGGGTCTTGCTATGTTGACTACGCTGGCCTCGAACTCCTGGCCTCAAGCCTTTGCTTCTCAAAGCACTGGGTTTACAGATATGAGCCACTGTGCCCAACCTGATAATTATTTTTATGTCATGTTGACAGGATTTAGACTAATAAAACATTTCTATTTTGTTTTTTTATTTCAGATTCAGGGGTACATGTGCAGATTTGTTACAAGGGTATATAGCATGGTGCTTAAGTTTGGGCTTCTATTGATCTCATCAACGGGATAGCGAACATAATAACTAATAGGAAGCTTCTCAGGTCTTGCCCCATTCCCTCCTCCCTCCTTTGGAGTCGCTAGTGTCTATTGATCCCATGTTTACGTCTGTGTGTACCCAAGATTGCATTCCCACTTATAAATGAGAACCTGCGATATTTGGTTTTCTGTTTCTGCATTAAGTTGCTTGGGATGATGGGCTTCAGATGCATCCATGTTGCTGCAAAGAACATTATTTCATTATTTTTTATGGCTGCATAGTATTCCATGGTGTGCACATGCCACGTTTTCTTTGTCCTATTCATCATTGATGTGCACCTGGGTTGATTGCATGTCTTTGCTATTGTGAACATATTAGAGTATGTGTTTTGGGGTAGAATAATTATAATTTATTTTCTTTTGGGTATACACCCAGTAATGGGATTGCTGGGTCTAATGATAGTTCTGTTTTTTGAGAAATCTTCAAACCACTTTCCACAGTGGCTGAACTAATTTGCATTCCTACCAAGAGTGTATAGGCATTCCCTTTGCTTTGTAGCCTTGCAAAAATCCGTGGTTATTATTATTATTATTATTTATTTGAGATGGAGTTTCACTCTTATTGCCCAGGCTGGAGTGCAATGGCACGATCTCAGCTCACCGCAACCTCCTTCTCCCGGGTTCAAGCGATTATCCTGCCTCAGCCTCCCGAGTAGCTGGGATTACAGACATGCACCACCATGCCCAGCTAATTTTTTGTATTTTTAGTAGAGACGGGGTTTCATCATGTTGGCCAGGATGGTCTCGAACTCCTGACTTCAGGCTATCCACCCGCCTCAGCCTCCCACAGTGCTGGGATTACAGGCATGAGCCACTGCATGCGGCCAAGATGTTTTTTAAAAGTAGAATTTTATACTCCTCATTAATACATTTCCTTCCTGGCATCTCTTTGATTTCTTAGGGCACACACTGAGGCGGATGGCATCTCACTGTTAATCAAGAATAAAAAGCCTTAAATTATGCCAGAAACCACTATAGCAATGTCTGTGTCAAGAGGCTGTCTGAATATCTAAATGTACATTTCACAGTACAGCAAACACTTTTTTTGAACTACATTATCTGTCAGATTGCCTAAGGCACTGAAATAGAAAACTCCTAGTGCTTGCTGTATTTTGCTAGCTTATACATTAGTTTCTTTTGTTGATTTTTGCTATGAGAGGACCAAAAAGATAGAAACCACAGTATCTGTTTTAATATTTTTTTTTGAGACAGGGTGACACTCTATCACCCAGGCTGGTGCAATCACAACTCACTGCAGCCTCAACTTCCTGTGCTGAAGTGATCCTCCCACCTTAACCTCCTAAGTACCTGAGACCACAGGCATGTGACACCACACCTGGTGTATTTTAGTATTTTCTTGTACACAGAGGGTTTTTCCATGTTTCCCAGGGTGATCTCAAACTCCTGGGCTCAAAGGATCCTCCTGCCTCAGCTTCCCAATGTGCAGTGATTACAGGAATGAACCACCATGCCTGGCCTTAATATTCTTTTCTATTTGTAAATGGAAAGCTTCAGAAAAGACCCTCAAACAGGACTATAAATGTTTTCACAATACTGTTTTGTACAGCCAGATATTAACAGTATATATAATGTAACTCAGGGGTCCCCACCCCTGGGCCATGGACAGGTATGTGTCCGTGGCCTCTGAGGAACCGGGCTGCACATCAGGAGGTGAGTGGTGGCTGAGCAAGCATTATGACCTGAGCTCCGTCTCCTATCAGATCAGCTGCAGCATTCGATTCTCATAGGAGTACGAGCCCCAATGTGGACTCCACATGTGAGAGATCTAGGTTGCATGCACTTATGAGAATCTAATGCCTGATGATTGGAAGTGGAAGAATTTCATCCTGAAACTATCCTCCCTGCCATCTGTGGAAAAATTGTCTTCCATGAAACCCATTTCTGGTGCCAAAAAAGGCTAGGGACCACTGATGTAACATATACCAGTATATCACATTTATTCTTACCTGTTGACATATATCCTGAAATTAGCTGTGGACAAGCTGTGGGAGTTATGTGTGAAAATAGCTTAGCAATTTAGACTCCCAGGACAATTCCACACTTCACTAAGCAAATGATGGCTATTCTTAACTGACAACATCATCACCAGCTGTCTCTTACTAACCCTAACAGTATAATAGAATACACGGTAGGAGCCCAGCCGAATGTCTTCCTCCAGCCCCACATCCAATGGCTGGCATGTGCACCCTCTTACCTAAGGTTGTGTATCCCCTTCTCTGCAGCTACAGCCCACTTGGCCTGGGTTCCATTCCCCACCGCAGAAAAGCCTTCTACTACTGACTGGACTGGAGAATACATGCCTCAGTTCCGTTGTTCCTTGGCTGTGTAACTCTGAGGTCCATGTTCGACGTGGCTCCCCAGAGTTCTGTCATGGGAGTAAGCACCAGTCATCTGCAGTGTAACTCACTTGGCAACACATCCTTATTTTGTCTTCTTCCTGTTCCCTGTCCCATTCTGTCCCTCCTTGACCAATGCTTCCAGTCTCCTTGGGATCATGTCCCAAATAAACCATGTGCACTGAAATCTTTGTCTTAAATTCTGCTCCTGGGGGAACCCACACTAAGACATGGTGAATCTTCCATATTAAGGAGGAACTGGTGCCTGTTGAAAATGAATTGTTGTGTTTGTTGGAGAAAAATTCATCTGTTACGCTGGAAGCAAACAAATCCCACAAGAATACTGTATTGCCAATATTGTCCGTGTCTCCAGCTGAGCAGTTAAGGAGAGCTGCACTGATGCTAGAAGTTGCCAACACCTGTGAATGGCTCTGGAGGCTTCTTGTGGACCTCCATCTTGGAGGAGGTGGCAAATGCTTAGTAGTCTCCCAGGAGTCAACATGCCGGCACTCACACTGATCTCCATATCATTGTGGAGAGTCAATGTCAAGACCTTCTGCCCTTCAAAGCTATCACATTGTATGTGCCTTAGACGCCACTTGCCAGAAGCAAGCCAGGTTTACCTTTGGACACCAACAGCATTCTTTCCATTCATTCATCCTCCTGACTTATCAGACCCTGCTATGAATGACTTGATTGTTCTTCAACTTCCAATTTACCCTCAAAATTTGAAGATTTTCTACCCGCTCAAAATAATTGATTTTGCCTTTTTGGAAAGCAGCCCACAAAGAGATTTTTTGAATAAATAAAAATTGATCCATGTTTACGAAGCGTGTATTTGGATATGTCCGTTGGACATATCTATCATTTGTTGACATACCTATCACACTGTCTGGAATGACACCTCAGTTTTTTCCCTTTTCTTTCAAAGTAGGCCTTTGGGAATCACATTTACTTTTATATAGAAACATGATTTTTTCCTCTCAAGAGCTTGTCTTTTGTATTTAGCAAAAAAAAAAGCCTTCTCCGTTCTGTAGAGAAAATCCCCAAATTGTGCAAAACCTCTGGAGAAAGCACTGAGCCCAAGAAATCAGCATTCCAAGAAAAAGACTCTGCACACAGCATCTGCATTTTTGTGCTGAACTGTTAAATGCAGATGTAGTGAAATTCATAGCTTTTTCAAAATGTACAATATAGTGAGTGGGTGTTGCCAATACATTATAATTACCCTGGACTTGTGTGAGGTGGATCCTTTGGATGAGAATTGGCTTTCTCAGATGAAGGGAATCTTGTCTGTGAATGAAGAAGACAAGGAGGAACAGAGTATTCTTGGGAGAGGCTGCCCTGGTTTTCATGATATCAGTGATCCTTTAACCCAAAAGCCCACAGATGTTCTCCCTAATTAACCACAGAAAGTATAATTATTTACCACCCCCCAAGAATCTGAGTTCTTCTTCAGAAACCAAGATTGAGAGGAATTACTCCCAGAACCAGTGTGCAGTATACACCTTTGAACCCTTTGAGCTCTTTGCTTTCTTTTGCAGCTTGTTTTTTCCTGCCTGTTTTTCCTGTCTTCTTTCAGGCTAAGCCTCCCTCCTTTTGGTAGAGGTTTTTTTATACCATTTGGAAACTGGTTTGGATAAGCTACCTTAATGAAGGACCACAAGTCTCTCCAGAGATGATAAAAGACTTTTTGTCTTTTCTGGTAAGTCCTTTCTGGAATAAAGATCAGTGTCTTTCTGGATTACTCTTGGTTTCTACAGATTTTACATTCTGTCTGTGAGGCATATATTCTAGTGAATTTACTTTCAAATTGGTCTGAATGCCTAGTTTAATATTTTGATCTACATGTCTAGGTTAAAATTTTTGTGAACAATCTTATCTTGGTTTCTTTTGATTTTGTTTGACTCTTTATCCTTGTTTCTGAAATTCTCCCAAATGCAAAAGTAAACATTCTAAATGGTGGGTCAGGATGGCTAACTAAAAGCTGCCAGGGCAGTTGTCACCCTTTAAAACACTGGCCTAAACCCCGGAAATTCCATGACAGGATTTATAGGATTTTCTCTACTCTTGAAAGATTAATGAAAAACAGAATGGTTGTTAGGTGCGGTGCCTCACGCCTCTAATCCCAGCACTTTGGGAGGCCAAGGTGGGTGAATCACGAGGTCAAGAGATCAAGACCATCCTGGCCAACATGGTGAAACCTCGTCTATATTAAAATACAAAAAAAAAAAATAGCCAGGCGTGGTGGCATGTGCCTGTAGTCCCAGCTACTCAGGAGGCTGAGGCAGGAGAATAGCTTGAACCTGAGAAGTGGAGGTTGCAGTGAGCCGAGATTGTGCCACTGCATGAGAGTCTGTCGACAGGGCAAGACTCCATCTAAAAAAAAAAACAAAAAACAAAACAGAATCGCATTCTCAAACATTAAGGCATGCTAGGTTTTCTGGGACTCCAGCTGGTTATATATTATGGCTCATATTTTTACCTTGCTGGGAAAATTACATCAAGGAAAATTCAGATCTCCAATAGTCATTATTTGAAAAACCTGCAATTATAGAGTTAACATGTCGAGTTTTCTAAGTTCTCTGTATACCTCTCTCGGTTCTTCTTCTGCCCATTCACTGTTTATGGAATTCTGGCCTGTGCCCCAAATCTTAAAGAGTATTCAACTTAATGGTTTTATAAATTACAACAGCTTCATGATATCAACAAGTGAGATAATCTTTGAAATATAAATTTAATTCCAAAATACCGTGGGTTAAGAAAAAAGTAAGAAATATAAATTTAGGTTTACCTGACTTACAATTGTGTGCAACAACAGAATACTTAATTAGAAGTTAATGTAAGAGAAAAATAACTAGATAAATATTTATGAAATTAGGCTCTCAGATCAAGCAGGTCAAAATCTTGACCGTACAGCAATAACCTAAGGTATGTCTAGCACAAAAATTTTGCTGTTTCTGCACACAAAAGCAAAAAATAAAAACTATAAATAATTTAAAACCGCTAAAAATCTTTCTTGTCCACACTTGCTAGTCAAGCAAATCACACTGGCAAAGAGAAAATAGATTTGCTTCTAATTCAAGGTTACATGGATATTTTATTTTTCTTATACAATTTATCCAGTCCCAGCTTAAATGTAAATATTGAAAATATAACCCTAAACTCATTTGAAACTTAAGAAAAGGTGAAAAAAGTTTTTTAAAAAATCAAACTGCCATGGAAACTGCTTTACCCAAACTGTGGTTCACAACACTTATTAGATTATCTTTTGCGGCAAATAAATTTTAGCCATGTTTTACATTTTGCCAAAAAATATATAAAACTGTCTTTTATAAACTGGTGGATTAGTATTACTATCTCATGACTAAAAGCCTAAAATAAAAAAACATAAGATCTGTTATTTGTGTGTGTATATGTGGTCAGATGTGTTTATGTATATACACATGTATTTTGTTATATGTTTTGCCTACATGGTAAAATCTGGTGTAGTGAGCCAGAAATCCCTTAAGAAAGTCTATTTAGATAAATGACCTTATGAAATATACAAAAATTAACCTAAATGCTTTTTAATTCATGTGACTTAATTAAATCTGTGATAAATAAACTATTCTAAAATTAGTGGTAAAATAAAAATAGAAATATCTTCAAAATGGTCCGTGTACATTTTACCAGGGTTTACTGGTCAGATGGTTTTATATTTTTTTCTTCTGGAAATCTGTTATTATGTGGGCAGCAAGCCACCCAGGTGCGAGGCAAGAGACCGAGGGCAAGAGCTGTTCCAGTGTAATAAAGAAAATATATAAAATAAGAATAGTTATACTAGATATAAATCATAGATATGATTATATATGAATATCATTAATCATTAGTTTGTAGCAATTACTCTTTATTCCAATATTATAATAATCCTTGCTCTACAATAAAAACCTAGGAAAATCCAGACCATACAGAGATGGGAGCTGAGGGGACATAGTGAGAAGTGACCAGAAGACAACAGTGTGAGCCTTCTGTTATGCCCGGACAGGGCCACCAGAGGGCTCCTTGGTCTAGCGGTAACACCAGCATCTGGGAAGATGCCCATGACCTAAAGGGACCATGGTCTAGCAGTAGCATCAGTGCCAAGGAAAAGCACCCCTACTTAGCCGACTGGGAAATGGAGTCTCCCTTTCCCCGGGGGAGTTTAGAGAAGACTCTGTTCCTCCACCTCCTGTGGAAGGCATGACGTCAGTCATTCCCACCTGCAGTTATCTGGAGGCCTGACCATCTCCCTGTGACACTGTGTTTCAGTGGTCACACTCCTAGTCCACTTTCATGTTCCCTCCCATACACCTGGCTTGCCTTTTAGATAGCAGTAGCAAAATTAGTGAAAGTACTAAAAGTCTCTGATATGCAGAAATAATGGCATAAGCTGTCTCCTCTCTGTCTCTCTCTCCCCACCTCAGCTGCCAAACAGGGAAGGGCCCCCGTCCAGTGGACACGTGGCCCACATGACCTTACCTATCATTGGAGATGGCTCGCAATCCTTACCCTGCCCCCTTGTCTTGTATCCAATAAATAACAGCACAGCCTGGCATTCGGGGTCACTACTGGTCTCTGTGTCTAGGTGGTAGTTGTTCCCTGGGCCCAGCTGTCTTTTCTTCTATCTCTTTGTCTTGTGTCTTTATTTCTATGATCTCTCATCTCCACACATGGGGAGAAAAACCCCACAGACCCTGTGGGGCTGGTCCCTACATTATTAGTCATAATTTTGGTTGCTATGTTAACTTTTTCCTAGAGTTATATTTATGTGGATATGTTATATGGATTTTTATACCCATATAACTTTCTATGTTGCTATAAAATTGCACTCACTCATAAAATACTGATAATACTGATATGTGAGAGATTTCTTGCTCCCTAGGTTTTCACTGTAATTTAAGGTTACTACGAGTTTAAAATTCTAATTAATATAGGCCAGGTACAGTGGCTCATGCCTATGATCCCAGCACTTTCTGAGGCCGATGCGGGTGGATCGCTTGGGCCCAGGAGTTTGAAACCACTCTGGGCAACATGGTAAAATGCCATCTCTACAAAAAATACAAAAGTTAGCCAGGCATGGTGGCACAAGCCTGTAGTCCCAGCTACTGGGAAGGCTGAGGTGGGAGGGTTGCTTGAGCCCAGGAGGTTGAGGCTGCAGTGAACTGTGATTGTGCCACTGCACTCCAGCATGGGTGGCAGAGTGAGACTTGTTTCAAATAAAATAAAATAATAAAATTGTAATTAATACGGATAATTCTTTTTGTGGTGTGGGGGAACAGGATCCCACTCTGTCACCCAGGCTGGAATGCAGTAGCATGATCATAGCTCACTGCAACCTCAAACTCCTGCGCTCCAGCAATTCTCCTGCCTCAGCCTCCCAAAGTGCTGGGATTACAGGTGTGAGCCAACATGCCTGGCCTAACATATATAATTCTATATAAAAGTGTGCCTTAAAAAGTAGGATGAGTTTTTAATAAGAAAAAATGTATAAGAAATGCATAAAAACATGTTCTTTATTGAGAAAGAAATAATAATTTTATATAATTTGAAGGTTATTTAAAGCTTGTTTCAAAATATTGATTCAGGAAAGACAGTGAAATGTTAAAGAAGAACCAGTAAGTAGAAGAGAGAGATGTGAAGAAAGTTATTGATAGGGAGATGGAGATAGGAGAAGGTTGAAAAGAAAAGAAATATTTCACATGACAAAGAATCTTGTGTGGTAAATTTTCATCCTAAACTAAAATGGCTAGTTATTTAAGAGGGAAAGTACAGGATAAAGTGGAAAGCCCAAGCATGTCAACAATGGTCTGAGTAACTCATTTGTGAAAAGAGAATTTATGCAAGATGTTTTGCATGTGACCAAGTTTGTTATGATCAGAAGAAAATTAAATTATAAGTCTTTCTAAGGACTGAGCTTTGGCATTAAAAATACACTAATACAAAACTGAAAAAATATGGTCCCCTATGTTAGAACAACAAGGTTTTCTTAAAGTATTGATTTAGTTTTCATAAAATTGCAAGAGGTTTTGAGTTTTAATTCTGAAATCTGTTCCCTTAACAGCCGTCTTCTAAACTACAGACAATTTCCATTTCTGTCAAATATTTTTCTGAGATCTATTTAATTTGCCTAGTTTGAGGGTGGAGATTCAGCTCCCCCTTTTTCTTGCCTAAAAAGGCACAACATCTTGGCTGAGGTGATAACTTTTCTTTTTTTGTCAACTCTTGTACCTTTTTTTTCTGTGGTTCCAACTCTGCTGTTATGTCCTGATGCTGAAATTTATATCCTGAAAAATCTAGAAAAACAGTGTTTTACTCCAATATAACTTGAAGTTAATAAAAGTCTGATGGTCCTGATGTGATGTAGTCAGTCATGATTCTGGTTGCATGTAATAAAAATAACCAAGTTTCCTTGTCAATTGGGACATTTGATCAGATTTTAAATCATGGCTATTCCAAGTTTTTGTCATTCACAGTTGTTTTGAAAATTTCTCTAAAAGCATTTGCAATCTGCTGTAGTCCAAAACAGCTTTTCATAGAAAATAACAAATACTCTTGAACACAGAATTCTGATAAATTTTTTGAGACAAGGTCTCACTCTGTTGCCCAAGCTGGTATACAGTGGCACAGTCTTGACTCATGGCATCCTCTACCTCCCAATCCTCTAATCTCAGCCTCCTGGATAATTTTTGTATTTTTTTGTACAGATGGGATTTCTCCATATTGCCCAGGCTGGTCTCAAACTCCCAAGTTGAAGTGATCTACCTGCCTCAGCCTCCCAAAGTGCTGGGATTACAGATGTGAGCCACTGCACCTGGCCAAATTTTTGGTAATTTAAGATCAGTAGACTAAAAAAAAATCTCCAGAGCTTAAATGAATAAACTGATGGGTTTATAAAACTGTTAATCAAGATTAAACAAAACAACTACATGAAATTAAGTGGTTCACGAAGATGATGTTTTTATGACTTTTATTTGAAACATTATTGGCTGTGAAATATTTTGTTTTCCAGATTTAAGAAAACTTTATCTCGTAAGCTACCTACAGTTTACAAAAATTCACTAAAGTATAATTTTTTGAACAAAGATGGAAGCATTCATTTTGTCTCCCTACTTGATTCCTCCAAAATTTGGAAAACATTTGTGAGTATTCTTTTATTTTTACTCAATAAATATCTGTTTCTCTTCATAAACAGAATGTCATTGAAAACATTGGTTATATTATTAAGGCTTTGACTGAAATCTCATATTTAAGAAGGTGCATAAAGTGCCTGGCTTCCAGTGCTTCCGCCTGACAGTGAATGAGTAAAAATTGTCACATCCTGGCAGGCCCAAGAACTTTAAGATTGTAAGTAAAATCTAAAACCTCCCTTGCTTTGGCTTAAGAGGTTTTTAAACCTGAACTTTTTGTAGATTAATGTAGAGAGAAAGTTCTGTTTCTAAAGAAAAACTATAATGCATCTGTGAGTAGATTGTAAACCTGTGCATGCTTTTCAAGTTCTTGTTATCTACATGTAGATTATACTAGATCTTGAATTTTCCTAATGTATTTCTCCAAATTTGGCAACAACTCTCCAACTAAAAGCAAAAGTTGCTCTGTTACTAAAGCCCTATGAGCTGAAACTAGATAAATTTTAAAGAATAAACATGTGCCTGGTGTATGGATCACAGAAAGAGTTCACCAAACCACCTGATGTCATGACCAAAGACATTCAAACTACAAAGCAGGAGAAGTTAATGTTTTCATGCCGATTGTCCCAGATCATTAGAACAGATTTTCCCAGGTCATTAGAACAGATTTTCCCAGGTCATTAGAACAGGACTGCATGTGATGAGATTTTTACCCTTCCTCCTCCTTAATGCTACATTTTTCACTTGGCAGAATAATGATGTGAATGAAAATTCACAATCAATAGCTTCTGCTCATAAGTATCCTTTGGTTCAATGAGAAAATGACTATGTTATTGTCAATACTGTATGCTGTACCTGGATAAATTTCTCCTGGAAATTAGAAATTTATAGACACAAAAGAAGAAGACAGGCCTCATGGTTACACCATCTCACCTGATTCCTTATTGTCATTTGATTTATTCAATTAGCTCTATGTAAGGCGAGATTAATGGCTCAAAGCCATTATGCAAACTAGAATTGTCCTATTACTATTTAGTTCATAATTTCCCTTTTTAAACTGTGTATCCATTACTTAAGTTTTTTTTCAAAAGTTCAACTCCTAACAGAATAATGCCGGTACAGCACTTTGAGATGATAGCAAAAGACTACAAAACAGACAAAATTGAACTTAATAATGAACTCCAGGTAGACTTAGCCTGAAAACTACTCCCTTCAAATCTCCCTTCTTGCTCCAAATGTGCCTAAAAGGATTTTGACACTGACTCTTAAGTGCCAATTAACCCCACCTCAATGTGGGACGAGACCAAAAACCAAAATAGGTCCATCCTAGCACCAAGGGCCATCAAAACAGAACTAAAAGATGATTGATCAGTGATGCTTTTGGAAAAAGATCTGGAGCACAAAAGGGAGGGGAAACGTGAAATTTGTCTCAATCAAAATAGAGTCACTAGTGATAACAAAATTCTGACAGCTCAAGCTGGGGAAGGCCATGAAGAGAGCATTCTCATGTGTGTATGCCTGATGATGAAAAAGATTCTACAAAAATTACAACCTTGCACAAAGTCCATGACAACGTTATACAAAAAAAAAAATTCTGTAAGGACACCTGCCCAGTAACTACTGCCTTCCAACCATGGACAGGCGTCACGATCGTTATTGATTTTTGTAGCCAAGGATAATTATTTCAAAACAATTATGTAACCTTCTTCATTTTTTCCTTTGAAAACCTTTGTCTTTGATGTAATTTGGGTGTTTGCCCTCTCCAAATCTCGTGTTGAAATGTAATCCCCATTGTTGGAGGTGGGGCCTGGGGAGGTGACTGGATCATGGGGGCAGGTCCTTTATGAATGGTTTAGCACAATCCCCTTCGTGATAAGTTCTCACCCTGAATTCATGTGAGATCTGGTTGTTTAAAAGTGTGTGGAGGTTGGGCGCAGTGGCTCACGCCTGTAATCCCAGCACTTGGGGAGGCTGAGTTGGGCAGAGTACTAGAGATCAGGAGTTTGAGACCAGCCTGGCCAACATGGTGAAACCCTCTCTCTACTAAAAATAACAAAAAATAGCTGGGTTTGGTGGCATATGCCTGTAATTCCAGCTACTCAGGAGGCTGAGACAGGAATCGCTTGATCCCAGGAGGCAGAGGTTGCAGTGAGCCGTTATCACGCCACTGCACTCCAGCCTCAGTGACAGAGTGAGACTCCGTCTAAAAAAGAAAAAAGAAAAGGTGTGGCATCTCTCCCCTCCCTCTGTTGCCCCTGCTCTCACCATGTGATGTGCCTGCTCCAACGTCAAATTCTGCCATGAATAAATGTTTCCTGAGGCTCTCACCAGAAGCAGATGTCAGAACCATGCATCCTATCAGACCTGTAGAACCATGAGCCAATTAAACCTCTTTCCTTTATAAATAGCTCAGCCTCAGGCATTTCTTTACAGCAACATACAAATGTTCTAGCAGAGTCTTTACCTCCCTGCATATGCACATGGTTTACTATGGCACACATATTTCTATTCAATGCTCTATTCCCAAACAAGAGTATTTTCTTTCTTTTAGAGAGACTCTGTTTCCTGTGCAGGTTGATGGTTCCAGCTGATCTCAGAAATACTGGAAAAGACAAGCAAAACTGTGGCAGATCAGGTCTCATTAACAGTTGAACAGGAAGGACTCCATGACAAGAGCTTCCACACTGACTGAACTGGTTAGGTTAAATATTAAAGGCTGAACGAGGAGTTGCCCTTACACAAAGGCTGGAACATAACAATAGCAGACAAAAAGTCTGGCCTAGGCCTTTCCTGGGCCTTGAAGCGCAACAAGATAACAAAGAATTTCTTACATTCTTCACACCAGGATGCATTTAGGATTAAAAACTTCTGTTGGATGTCTGAAGAAACTCCCCCAGACCTCCACACCTTAGCTGGAGACAAGATAACAGTAATCACCTCCAGCACCAGGACCCCATCTAGATTAGGCAAACTTACTGAGGCTCCGGAGGAAGGTCTCCAGGACCCAGAACTTAGTTATAGATTAGGTGGAATCAGTCACTTTTGTCCTTAGGAAAATGCACACTTACACACAGACATACAGCTTAGAAGATATATAAGCTCTGGAAAAACTTGGTAACTTTGAGTTTGTCTGGTGATGTTTTCCCCAGCCTTCTCCCTATACCTGGTTACAGAAATAAAATCTCTTCTTTCCAAGTTTGTCTGCATCTCATTACTGGACCATGAGAACAAGCAGCCAGAATCTTGATTTGGTCCAGGAACACAACCAGCTAAAGAAAATCTGAATTGGGATTAGAAATATGGAGGTATGTAAACAGATCAGTTTGAATATTGGGCTCCAAATCCTTTCGTAGATATTAAACATATACCTGAAATTACAAATGAGGTAACCATTCAAAAGCTTATTCATGATTGAAGAGGGGCTGGGATACCCGTTTCTTCTTTGGGGACATGCTTTTCATTAGCCCTAATCTCATAATCCACATAGGAGTTCCTTTCTTCTAAAGATTTTTCTTTTTTTACCACTTTATTCACTGCTGCTTGAAGGGCAACACCAGATGCAGGTTGAGCCAATAGTGCCAGCCAGTAAGAACTGGAGTGCACAGTAAGAACTGGGGTGCACTGTAAGAACTGGGGTGCACTCCCACCACCATTACCAGTGCTTTCACACCCTCCCATGGGATGCAGTACCCACGGCAGAGGAGCACTCTGAACATAGCTGTGGGTTACGAGGCTGCATCTGCAGTCCACACTCTTACCAAACCACGAGATCAATGCTAACTCCCTAAAGCAGGCTGGGAACACAGATCTTCCTCCTTCACACAGCTCTGGGAAGCTCTAACTTCTTTTTGCACTTAAGATAAATTTTCATGCAGCAATCCCACTACCAGGAACTTATCAAAAGGAAATATTTGGAATGCACACAGATGCATGCAGTTATTGATCTGTAATTATCTGGATGTCTATCAGTAAGAAATTAGTTATTTAAATTTATTCACATGCATTCAAATGACAACTCCACAACCTTTAGGAGAATAAAAATGGATTTCAAGGATCTTCTCTCTCAGAGAGGCAGTGTAGAGTGATGGCTAAGAGTTCCAGCTGGCAGCAAGCTCACCTGGACTCACATCTGAGCTCTATACTTACTGTCTCTGTGGCCTTGGGTAAATTATCAAGGGCTCTGAGCCCCACATCCCCCATCTGTAAAATGGATTTTTAGGAAGATTAAATGGGTTTTAATGTAAAGTGCCCAGGACACACTGTACTTGGGACATAGCGAGAATTCAATGCAAATTAGTCAGTATTGATGACATGTCCTTAAATGAGTAAAACATGTTATGAAACAACATGTAGACGATGCTTATATTTTTATTTCCTATGTGAACCCAAAATATCTGAGACAGGTCTTAGTTCAGAAACTTAATTTTGCCAAGGTTAAGAACATACCCATGACACAGACTCAGGAGGTTCTTATGACATGTGCCCAAGGTGGTTGTGATACAGCCTGCTTTTATACATTATTATTTTTTTCTCAGACAGAGTCTCTCTCGTCTCTTCCGTCACCCAGGCTGGAGGGCAGTGGCTCAATCTCGGCTCACTGCAACCTCCTCCACCTCCCATGTTCAAGCAATTCTCCTACCTCAGTCTCCAGAGTAACTGGGATTACTAGGGCCCGCCACCACAGCCGGCTAATTTTTGTATTTTTAGTAGAGACGGGATTTCACCATGTTGACCAGACTGTCCTCGAACTCCTGACCTTGTGATCCACCTGCCTCGGCCTCCCAAAGTGCTGGGTTTACAGACATGAGCCACCACGTGCAACCACTTTTATACATTTCAGGGAGAAATGAGACATCAATTAATATATGTAAGATTTTCATTGGTTTGATCTGGTAGGGTGGGGAGCTTCCAGGTCATAGATAAATTTAAACATTGATTGAAAGAGTTATTAGAAGAAAGGAATGCCTGTGTTACAATAAGCAGTTATGAAGACCAAGGTTTTATCATGCAGATGAAGCCACCAGGTCACAGGCCTCAGAGAAAATAGATTGTAAATGTTTCTTGTTACACTTGAGGTTTGTATTGATGTTAATGCTGGAGGGGTACAATGAGGCATTTCCAAGCCCGTTTTCATCATGGCCTGAACTAGAGTTTCAGGTTAACTCCGGAATGGCCTCTGCCAAGAGGATGGGTCCATTCAGATGGCTGTTGGGGGGCCTTAGATTTCCACTTTTGGTTAACACTGTCCCCCTTCTGGCCAAGTCAGTGGCCACCCAATTTTTATTTTGTCCTATAGTGTTGCCAGGGTGGCGTAGCTACCTACTTCACGTCCACCCTATTTTTGTAGCCTGTCAGTTTCAGGTGATTACCTAAGAACCTTAAGATACATGGTTATTTTACCAATAATTTAAGATTTAGCTGTTTTCATTAAACCGCAACATTAACATCTTATTGGTTTAAAAACCACAAAAGCAGAGATGATTCTGTTTGGTGGCTGGCTTTATAGTTTTATAACTTTTCATTTTTTGAGACGGAGTCTCACTGAGCCACCCAGGCTGGAGTGCAGTGGCACCACTCTGCTCACTGCAACCTCTGCCCCCTGGGTTCAAGAGATTCTCCTGCCTCGGCCTCCTAAGTAGCTGGGAATACAGGTGACCGCCACCACAGCTAGATTTTGTATTTTTAGTAGAGACGGGTTTCACCATATTGGCCAGACTGGTCTCGAACTGACTTCATGATCCAACCGCCTAGGCCTCCCAAAGTGTTGGAATTACAGGGGTGAGCCACTGCGCCTGGTCAATTTTATAAATTTTATGCCAAATTCTGACACCTTATAGTATGTGGCAGAGATAAGTATGAAATAGCTTGATCAATAAGTCATGTGAACATGAAAAACTTTTGGGCGAATTATTGAATTTATGAGGACTCTTTAAGTTTAAGCCAAATTTGTTGCCTGTGATCAAAAACACGTAAGAAAATATGCGTACATACACATAAACACACACATACACACTCGTACAAACAAAGATCCTGTAGCTTTTGCTTCAGAAATCTAGCCATGAGATATTGATACAGACTTTTAGGTTTGCAAAACAATAACAAAAATAATTGGATGCAAACAGTGGACTTTAACTTAGTGAACAAATATTTAGTGCAAAGCCCCTCATCTTAGTAATTGGGTGTCTGTGTGAAGGGCACAGCGAGCCTGATTCAGTGTCACCAGGGTGGCCACAGCTCCAGTTGCCACCTGAAATGTCCCATGGCTGAAATTGCCAATCTCTTCTGGCCAAAGCTGTGCTCCTATGCCTGTTGGGGACCCAGGTGCCAACCTTTGCAAGGACCACAGGCCATGCACCTCTTGCCTGGGCCCACGTCTGAGACCGGACTTAGGGTCCTGGGTGGGTCTGACGTGGGGGTCCTTAAAACACCCCATGGAATTTTTTTTTTGAGATGGAGTCTTGCTCTGTCACCAGGCTGGAGTACAGTGGCGCAATCTCAGCTCACTGCAACCTCTCCCTCCCGGGTTCAAGCAATTCTCCTGCCTCAGCCTCCTGAGTAGCTGGGACTACAGGTGCGCACCACCATGCCCAGATAATTTTTGTATTTTCAGTAGAGATAGGGTTTCACCATGTTGGCCAGGATGGTCTTGATCTCTTGACCTTGTGATCTGCCCTCCTTGGCCTCCCAAAGTGCTGGGATTACAGGTGTGAACCGAGGCGCCAGTCCAACACCCCTTGGAATTTTTAACATGCTTGGTGAGAGGCAATGGTACTGGGAACCCGTGGACCTGCACACAGGGGGTGCCTCCTGTGGTAGTACCCGGGGCCCTGCTGCCACCAGCAGACCCCTGGCCTGTCCTGCTGACTGCCAGCTTATGCTCCTCCTCCACCACCGCCTCTGGTCTTCCCAGTCATTTCCAGTGCTCAGGGTTGCTCCTCCTCTGTCTCCTCAAGCCCTCAGCTCAGTGCTGCCCCTCCAACCTCACTGAGACCCTTGGTGGTTCCTTTCCATCCTCAGCTCCCTCGCAGACCCTGAGTAGTATCCAGCCACACTCAGTTCTCTCTCCTGGATGCTCTGTCCTCCCTTGGCCACTCAATACTACAGTATTTAAGTCCTATTCGTCATAGTCTTTGTTGGGGTATGATGATGAGTAAGAGCCATAGTTCACAGTGAAGTGGCCTGATTCAAATTAGGGTTAGGGTCTGGTTCTGGGTTAGGGCTTGGGGTGTTAAAATAAAAGCCTTAGACAAGTTCAATTTCACAGAGTTTAGTCGGGCAGAAAAAGGTTCATAAACTGGGTAGCACTCAGGACAAATGTGATTCAGAATCCTCCACCACACAAGGGGGTGCAAGCTATATTTACAGCCAGAAAAATATGACATACAGAGAGCCTTTGTTGGCTGCAGTCAGCATTTGCCTTATTTGGTCATGTTTTCGCAGCTTTCAGCCTGAGACTGGCTGCAGGAACCTTCAGCCAAGACTTGGCTCCTTGGCACAAGAATGTATACTCTTGGTTTATAGTTTGTGTTCACATTCAGTCATGTTACAGTTCACCATGTACAGAGGCAGCTTTATGCCCAACTTGATTTAACAATTAGCTACTTTGGAGAGGGAGCTTTGTGAGACCGACCAAAGGCATGAGCAGTGACACCACCTTCTGTCATCATCATGGTGAATTTTTTTGATCTCAGTACGGTATTCATAGTCCACGATGTCAAAATAATTACATGATTCTCATGTTTTCTTCAAGGTTTTGTTACTCCAATCATAATGAGACTAGTTGATGTACAAAGAATGTGCTGCATACTAGTATGTAAGACTTTTAAGTGAGTACAATACATTAGTGATGACATCATGCTGGTTATCAGAAGGATAATACCAAGAAACTTAAATGCGCCCCTTAACAGGAATTTCAGCAAAGAAAACATTAAAATCAAACAATTCAAAATTCAGGCAAAAGAGAGAGTACTACAGTATTCAAGTCCTATTGTTCATAGTCTTTGTTGGGGTATGATGATGATTACGAGCCATAGTTCACAGTGAAGTGGCCTGATTCAAAGAGGTATTCATGCTTTCAGTTGGTCTGTGTTTTACTCCATTTGTATTGTTATAAATAAATACTTGAGGCTGGGTAATTTATAAAGAAAGAGGTTTATTTGGCTCACAGTTCTGCAGGTTATACAAGCAACATGGTGCTCTGGCATCTGCTTCTAAGGAAGCCTCAGGAAACTTACAATCATGGCAGAAGACTAAGAGTGAGCTGGCCATCACATGGTGAGTGTGAGCAAGAGACAGACTAGGGAGATGCCAGCCTCTTTAAATAAACAGATCTTGGCCTGGTGCAGTGGCACACACCTGTAATCCCAGTGCTTTGGGAGGCCGAGGTGGACGGATCATGAGGTCAGGAGATCGAGAGCATCCTGGCTAACACGGTGAAACCCTGTCTATATTAAAAAACAAAAAAATTAGCCAGCGTGGTGGCAGGTGCTTGTAGTCCCAGCTACTCAGGAGGCTGAGGCAGGAGAATGGCATAAACCTGGCAGGTGGAGCTTGTGGTGAGCCAAGATCGCACCACTCTACTCCCTCCTGGGTGACAGAATGAGACTGTCTCAAAAAAAAAAAAAAAAAAAAAAAAAAAAAAAACAGATATTATGTGAACTCAGAGTAAGAACCTGCTCGTGACCATGAGGACAGCACCAAGCATCCATGAGGGATATGTCCCCGTGAACAAAATACCTTCCAGTGGGCCCACCTCCAACATTGGAGGCCATATTTCAATGAGAGATTTGGACGGGAGAAAACATCCAAAACATATCAGTGGGATAAGACAAGTCATAGTAACCTGGACTAAATGAAACAAAAATCAGAAAACCTTGGAATAGTCAAGTCCAAAACTGGACTAAATGAAACATAAAAATTAGAAAACCTTGGAATGATGCCAACCATCTTTCAGGGAGTCTACAAATCAGCCACATGCTGCTCCCATAAGCACGTCATGTGTTTCTTTCCCCTGAGAAATTACCTTAATGTATTCAATGGCAGTGTTTAGAGAAACGTATTACTGGCCACCATTTAAACTATGTTCTCCATAGTAGTAAAATCAGGGGAAAGAGAAGTGGAACATTCAGTTTTGTTCAGCACCACACACAAGCCCCCAGCATGGACAAAGTGATGATTGAAAGCCGTGTCATGTTCCACCAAGTGTTTTTGTTGGACACAAACGTTCTCATCCACCAGTTGAAGGGTGACCTCTATCTTTCTAAATCCCAGTGAAGTCTGACTATCCTCCAAATCCAAAATTTTTCAACTTACAGATTAGCTTCAAATTCCACACAACTGGCACCCCACTACCACCAAGTCTGAGGCCCCAAGAACCCCACTGGAAACTTGTCTCAGTGGAAACTAACTCATCTTCATCTATTTCAAAGTTGGTACTGATTTCCGTTATTGACTGCTTTGACCTCTGATTGTGGGAAATATTATGGGAACTTTTAAGGAAAGCTATTTGGAAGGCAGGACTGAGCCAGGTTAAATAACAACGTCCAAACCAGCAAGGAGGCAGAAGGAAGCAAATTCTCTGCGGACCCAGGAGATACCCTGGGAGCTGGAAAAGGGGTCACCTCATGGCACGTGAACCGAGCTCAGTTGCATTGGCTTATCCCTAAGTCTGCCTAGCTCCTGATCAAGTTGCAGGGGGAAACTTACTCTTATGTGGTCCACTTACAGTTGTGCAACCTACAATGTGCTCTAGATGGAGCAGCTGTAAGATGTCAGAGCTAGCAACAGCCTAGTCCCTGAGGCACTCTGGAATACCACTCACCCACCTGCATCTGTTGAGTACCAAATGCCCCTCACCGACCTGCATCTGTGGAGTACAACATGTCCCTCACCCACCTGCATCTGCAGAGTACCACATGTCCCTCACCGACCTGCATAGGAAGGTGCATGAGAAATAAGTTCTCTTCTGAAAATTAGCGAAAATTTCAAAAACTATACAAAACAAAAATACGCATTCACAGTCTCTGGAAATGGTCCCAAGAGCATAGAGCAAATAAAGTTTTACTCACATGCAGGAACTCAAGGAACTTCAAATTAAACAAACACAAAGAGATCCACAGACACATCATAGTAATGATGCCAAAAGCTAAAGAAACATAGGAAACGCTGAAAGCAGAAAGTGAGATAAAGAAAGAGGAGCCATTGAGCTTAAAAGGGATCCTCTAAAACTGTTATAAGCAGGAGGAATCCCAAGGAGACTAACAGCTGATTTTTCACCAGAAACAATAGAGGCCAGGAAGAAGGGGAATAACATATAAAATGTCTGAAGAAAAAATCCTGTATTCACCATGGCTATGGTTAAAAACTGAGGGTGAAACAAAGACATACCTAGATTAACAAAACTGAGATAATTCATTGCTACCAGACCTATCTTACAAGAAATATTAAAAGAAGTTGTTCAGGCTGAAAATGATTACCCCAGACAATAATCCAAATTTACACACACACACACACACACACACACACGCATCAGTAAAGGTAAATATGAAACTCTAAAACTAATATATTTTATATTATGAAAATAATAAACGGCAGTATAAATGCACATTTTTCTATTTTTTCTCTTGATTTGGAAAGCAATTTATAAAACAATGTCTATTCAATGTATCGTTTGTCCTGTGACATACAAAATTTAATATGTTTGCCAATAACAGTCTAACCGAGGTGAGTGGGAACAAAGCTGTATTGGATTAAGACCGCAACTCCATATATCAGACTACAGACAACTCAAATCTATAAAAACAAATGAAGAGAATAATAAATGATAAATAAGAAGTAACTTAAAATTTTAAATATTTCTGTGCTTTACTTTTTCCTCTTAGCTTCTTAAAAGACATGGTTATATGATGTAATAATTATAACGATGTATTGTTGAGTTTTTAGTATTTATAGATGTAATACAAATAAGAATAATACCTTAAAAAGTTACAATAAGAAGGGTGTAGAACTACGTAGGGTACAAAGCTATGTGCAGAAGGGTGTGGAGCAAGGTAGCGGTAATGTTTTTGTGTCTAACTGAAACTATTCTGAATTAGCATGAATCTGAAGCTGATTCTGATAGGTTAAGATTTACAGTGTAATCCCAAGAACGCTGACTAGGATAATAAGCCAAAAACAGAGTATTAAAATCATTAAAGAAATGTAATTGTCATTTTAGAAAATATTCACTGTTGCTGGGCGTGGTGGCTCATGCCTGCAATCCCAGCACTTTGGGAGGCCAAGGCGGGTGGATCATGAGGTCAAGAGATCAAGAGCATCCTGGTCAACATGGTGAAACCCCGTCTCTACTAAAAATACAAAAATTAGCTGGGCATGGTGGCGGGTGCCTGTAGTCCCAGGTACTCAGGAGGCTGAGGCAGGAGAATGACTTGAACCTGGGAGGCGGAGTTTGCAGTGAGCCAAGATCGCACCACTGCACTCCAGCCTGGGCGACAGAGAGAGACTCTGTCTCAAAAAAAAAAAAAAAAAAGAAAAAGAAAGAAAATATTCACTGTTTGCAAAAGGAAGCAGAAAACAGGAACTGGAGAATTAAAAGTACATATAAGGAATACAAAACAAAAATTAAATGTCTGATATGAATATAATTATATCAATAATAATATTAAATATGACTTGATTAAACAACGTAATCAAAAGTTAATTCTTGTCAGACAATAAAAAATAAGATCTTCTATGCCATCTACATTTTAGATTCAAAGATATGAATAGAGTAAAAGGATGGAAATACATATATCATGCAAACAGTAACCCTGAGAAAGCTATTCTAAAGTAGCTATACTAATATCAGACACAATGAATTTTAAAACAAAACAAAAAAAAAATCGGCCAGGTGAGGTGGCTTATGCCTGCAATCCCAGGACTTTAGGAGGCCAAGGTGGGCAGATCACCTGAGGTTAGGAATTCAGGACCAGCCTGGCCAACATGGTGGAACCCCGTCTCTACTAAAAATACAAAATCTAGCGGGTTGTGATGATATGTACCTGTAGTCTCAGCTACTCAGGAGGCTGAGGCAGGAGAATCGCTTGAAACAAAAAGGCGTAGGTTGCAGTGAGCTGAGATCACGTCATTGCATTCCAGCCTGGGTGACAAGAGAGAAACTCTGTCTAAAAAAAAAAAAAAAAATTTTAGAGATAATGTGGGACATTTTACAATAACAAAATGGCCAATCCATCAGTAAGAAAGTACAAGTATAAACATATATGCACCCAATTAAACATCACCAAAGTACATGAAACAAAAACTGACAGAAATGACAGCCAAAATAGATGATGACTGGAGACTTCAATATGGCACTTTGACTAATGGATAGAAAGACTACCCAGTAGAGCAAAAAGGAAAAAGAAGATTCAAACAACTTCATAGTTCAACTAGACCTGAAAAACACGTGCAAAACATTCCACACAAGAGAAGCTACATTCTTCTCAAGGGCTCATCAACATTGTCCATCATAGACTCTACACTAGGCCATTAAAGGAACTGAACAGCATGTACTCCAATCACAATAGAGTGAACCTAGAAATTAATAACAAGAAAGTAGGGAAACTGAAATATGTTGAAATTAAACCACACACATCCAAATTACTAATCAAAGAAGAAATCCAAACAGAAATTTGAAAATATACTTAGAGGAATGAAAATGAAGTCACAACATACAAAACTTAATGAAAGACAATTAAAGACATGCTTGCAGGGAAATTTATTGCTGTAAATATAGATAATAAAAAAGAGAACTATTTCAAATCAATAACATAACTTTTGACATAAGGACACTGGAAAAAGAAGAGCAAATGGAAGCTAAAGTAAGCGGAAGGAAGGAAATAATAAAGATCATAGCAGAAACCAATGAAACAGAGAATAGAAAAGCAACAGAGAAAAACAATGAAACTAAAAGCACATTCAAACAAGCTTAACACAATTGACAAACCTTATTGTCATGAAAATGTATTTTGGGTATACTACCAAGAAGTAGTGAGTTGTGCGACACAGGAACTGGAGGACCAAGATAACTGCTGTTGCTAGGATCATCCCCCTGCTTCCCCTCACCTAAAAATGTTGACCAGATTGTAGGAAACCGAAACAATTCCTTTAAGTAGAAAGTAAATAAATTAAGAGAGCAATTTAAATGGCTTTTTTTCTTTTTTCCCTTTTTATTTTCATGATGTAAAAGGTTAGACAGGAATGCACTGCAAATGTGGAGATCTGCGTCATCTTTCTGCTGCCCAAGGCTATCCCAGTAAGTTCCTCCTGAGTAAATCTTTGACTATCTACCAGCCTGGAATGGTCTATCTCTTTCTTTGGTCTGAGAGCTTCCTCTCCATTATGTAGGACAGCTCAGTTCCGGCAGGGAGTTTTCCTAACATTTTTCTAGACTGACTAAGAAAAATAGAAGACTCAAGTAACTAAAATCAGAAATGAAAGAGGATATATTACTACCAGCATTGCAAAAAGAAAAGAACATTTAAGGAAAAATAATATGAACAATCGTATGCCAAAATATTAGATAATTTAGATACAATGGAAAAATTCCTAGACACAAACCAGTGACACTGATGCAATAAAAAATGCTCTCACTAGACATGATAAGCAAAGAGATTGAATTACTAATAAAGAAACACTCCACACCAAGAAAAGCCCTAGCCCTGGAAGTTCGGCTTACTTTAGCTTCCATTTGCTCTTCTTTTTCCAGTGTCCTTATGTCAAAAGTTATGTTATTGATTTGAAATAGTTCTCTTTTTTATTATCTATATTTACAGCAATAAATGTCCCTGGTGAAATCACTGGTGAATTTTGTCCAATATTTGAAGAAGATTTAGGATCAATTCTTTCCAAACTCTCCAAAAGATAAAAGTGGTAGAGATATGTCTCAACTCATTCTATGAGGCCAGTATTACCATGATAGCAAAGCCATACAAAGACATCAAGAGGAAAGAAAAATTCAGACCAATATATCTTATGAATACAGATCAAAACTCTTCAATAAAATACAAGCAAACAGAGAGGCTGGGAGTGGCGGCCCACGCCTGTTATCCCAGCACCTTGGGAGGCCGAGGTGGGGGGATCACGAGGTCAGGAGATCAAGACCATCCTGGCTAACATGGTGAAACCCCGTCTCTACTAAAAATACAAAAAATTAGCCGGGCGTGGTGGTGGGCACCTGTAGTCCCAGCTACTTGGGAGGTTGAGGCAGGAGGGAGAATGGTGTGAACCCAGGAGGCAGAGCTTGCAGTGAGCTGAGATTGTGCCACTGCATCCCAGCCTGGGTGACAGAGTGAGACTCCATCTCAAAAAATAATAATAAAAATAAAAAATAAATGCATAATATACAAGCAAACAGAATACAGCAACATGTAAAAATAATTCTACCTCATGACCAAGTTGGATTCATCCCAAGTATACAAGTTTGGATAGCAGCCAAAAATTATTTAATGTAATACACCATACCAATACAATAAGCAAGACCACAGTCATCTCAATAGTTGCAGATACAAAATCCAACATCCTTTCATGATGAAATATTCAACAGAGAAGGAAAGAAGGGAACATTTTTAAACTAATAAAGAGCATATTTAAAACCACAGCCAATAGCATACTTAATATTGGAAGCCTGTATACTTATATCCTGAGATCAGGAACAAGATAGATAAATCCACTCTCACTACATCCTTTCATCATTATGCTGGAGGTGCTAGCCAGGACAATTTGGCAACAGAAATAAATGCAAGCCATCTAGATTAGAAAAGAAGTAGGCCAGGCATGGTGTCACAAGCCTGTAATCCTAGCATTTTGGGAGTCCAATGTGGGTGGATCCTTTGAGGTCAGGCGTTCAAGGCCAGCCTGGCCAACATGAAGAGAACCCGTCTCTACCAAAATCACAAAAATTAGCCAGGTGTGATGGTGCACTCCTGTAAACCCAGCTACTTGGGAGGCTGAGGCACAAGAATCACTTGAACCCAGGAGGCGGAGGTTGCAGTGAGCTGAGATTGCACCACTGTGCTCCAGCCTGGGCAACAGAGCCAGACTCCATCACAAAAAAAAAAAAAAAAAAAATCTGAGCCAGTGCATACCTTAAATAAACAATCCTCCTGTTCTCCATATCAGTCTCTCTAGTCCTCAGTTTCCCGCAACATTTTTGGCAACCATGAAGGGACCGGAGACAGCAAGTTCACTGTCTCCTTTGCCTCTAGGGGCTACAGCCCCAGGCCTCAGGAGACCTGTGACCCCAGGCGCCACCAGGAGGACTTCAGCCTAGAGAGCAGATCGGCTTTCGCGTGACCCGGTGCCCCTACCCAGCAGCGCAACAGAACCTAAAGAAAGGCTACAGGATGATTCCAGAAACAGTGCGCTTCAAGAACTGTAGCAAAGTTTTAAGGCCCAAGGCAGGACCCGTCCCATAAGGATGGAAAAGGAGCCTGACCACCTCCCGAGGTGTGCCTAATAGTACAACCCAGAGAGGCTAAAGGCGGTGAGAAAGGCTCACCAATTCAGAAGAAACTCACACCCCAACTGACACAAGATGTGAGACTGGCTTGCTAAGTCGGTTAAGAAAAAGAAACTAGAGACGCCGAGAGTGGCTTGCCACCCCACTTAGGTACACAGGAACTAGGAGTAGAGACGTGTGTGAATGCAAAGGCCTAATTAAGCTCATCAGCCGCGAAGTAAGGAGTCACAGATCTCTTAGAGTGGACTGTGTGCTCCAAGCAAAGTGTAAGGCCGACTACGAACAGTAGCGATCTGCATACAGCTAATAAGAACTACCCTATAGCTCAGAGTTGTAGCAGGAATAAGGAACTCTCCAAAGCCAAGCAGCCTCTGAAAACTCCCATAATAGGAGACGGTGTGGAAGGTCAAAATGAGAGGAAAGAGTGTGCTGTGCCGTAAAAGAAAGAATAGGAAGAAAGTCATCAAACTTACCCCGTTAGAGTGCATGTTACAGAACTTTAAGAAAGGTTTTGCAGAGGATTAGGGAGTTAAGCTAATCCCACAGAGGTGGAAAACTCTCTGTAATTAGAATGGCCTTCTTTTAGTGTTAGATGGCCGACCAAAGGAACTATAGATAAGGAAATAATTGGCTGTATATTTAAGGTGGTGACAAGAGTCAGAGGACAGCTAAGGCATCCAGATCAATTTCCTTATATTGATTCATGGTTAAATATAGCAGATAAGACCGGCCTGGATCCAGCCATGTGCAGCAGCTTATCGCGAAACATATGTAGCCTGAGCTCAGCCAAGAGTGAAAGTAAGAGCAGCTTCACTGGCAGACACAGAGTTAAAGAATTCCCAAAGAGAGCAAGAAAAGTCAGTTTTGCAGGAGCTGCCAGAAAGAACAGAGATTCTTCCTCCATATGTCCCAGCCCATCCGCCTTTACCAAGTCCAACAGCCCCACAGGAGCCAGACTCAAGAGCCAGCATGCCCCAAGTTTCACCACGAAGGGGAGGATCAGAGTGTTGAGAGGCCAGGGAATGAAGTCAAGATAGTCTAGCAGGCTGTCTCAGATCTGGCAGTGCTCAAGCTCTGCAAATGCCTCTCTAGGAGACACGAGGACCCATTTATTATGATGACCAAGGCCAAGTCCAAAGAAGGCAATGGACTTTCATCAGTCAGCCCTTTTCAACCACTGATCTTTTAAACTGGAAACACCATACTCCCTCCTACACAGAGAAGCCTCAAGGTCTTATAGATCTGTTGCAATCCATCTTTCTGACACACAATCCAACTGACCAGACTGCCAGCAGCTCCTTCTCACGTTATTTAACACTGAGGAGTGCCTGGGAGTAACCTAGGCAGCTCTCCGCTGGCTAGAAACCCAGGCATCAGCAGATGCAGTGCATGCTCAGGCATACACCCAAGGTCAGTTTCCAGATTCTGGCTAGAAGCCCAGGCATCAGCAGACGCAGTGCATGCTCTGGCATGATGCAGACAGAGTGCATGCTCAGGCATACACTCAAGGTCAGTTTCCAGACGCTGCATAGAAGCCCAGGCATCAGCAGACACAGCGCATGCTCAGGCACACACTCAAGGTCGGTTCCCGACCTAGATCCTAACTAGGACCCAGAGGATGCAACTCAGCTTCAGTGTTTGCAGAGGTACCAAGAGGCACTTCTGCAAAGACTGAGATGGTGGAAAGAAAGCCATTAATATAAAGAAGATTTCAGAAGTGCTTCAAGGAAGTGATGAAAGCCCTAGGCAGTTTTATGAAAGATTCTGTGAGGCATACTGGCTTTCACCCCGTTTGACCCTGAGGCCACTGAAAATCAGTGTATAATGAATATGTCATTTGTAGGACAGGCCCAAGGTGATATCAAATGAAATCTTCAGAAGTTAGAAAGTTTTGGCCGGGTGCGGTGGCTCACACCTGTAATCCCAGCACTTTGGGAGGCCAAGGTGGGTGGATCACGAGGTCAGCAGTTCAAGATCAGCATGGCCATGATGGTGAAATCCCATCTCTACTAAAAATACAAAAAATTAGCTGGCAGTGGTGATAGGCACCTGTAATCCCAGCTACTTGGGAGGCAGAGGCAGAGAATTGCTTGAACCCAGGAGGCAGAGGTTGCAGTGAGCCAAGATCGTACTACTGCACTCCAGCCTGGGAGAAAGAGTGAAACTCCGTCTGAAAAAAAAAAAAAAAAAAAAGAAGAAGAAGTTAGAAAGTTTTTCAGGTATGAATGACACCCAGATTGTAGAAGTAGCCACCAAAGTGTTGTTAACCGTGACCAGAAATCAAAGAAAGGAGCAGACTGGAGGCTTAAGATCTGTTGGCAGCAGCCTTTATAGAAAAAGAGATTAGCAATGTAAGATGACGTGGACACAGGTGTGGACATAGAATAAGTCAAGTTAGATAAGTATTTCAAAGTTGCCCAAGGCTAGAGAAGGATCAGTGTGCAAGATGCAAAAAGAAAGGACACTATAAAGATGAATGTCCAGAAGGCAATGAAAGAAATGGCCAAGGCCGCAAGACAAAGAGGCCATTGGCCAAAGGCTGCCGCACCTTGGAGGAACCAGATACTGATCTGATCAGGCTAGCAGGAGCTGAAAGATGTGAGGACTAAAACAGACCACGCTTCTTCTTATTAGGCCTCCAAAAGCCCATCGTCACATTAGAAGTTTAAAGCAGCAAGATTCTGCTGTATCTAGATTATAAATTTCTCACTGATGGCTAAGCCATTATATGAAGGTACAAAAGAAAAAGAGACAGAGAGAGAGAGAAAAAAAAAAAACCTCTCCTCTAAGAAATGGAACAGGAGAAGGAGCCATGCCTTCGTGCCTTGTGAAAACTTGCTTATAGACTTTACCAAAATGCCCCGTGCCAGAGGCTATCCGTTTATGCTAGTGTTTATTTGCACTTTTTCAGGATAGGTTGAGGCATTCCCCACCAAGACAGAAAAGCACGAGAAATGACTAAAGTACTACTAAAAGACATTATCCCTAGGTTTTGACAGCCTGTAACTTTAAAGTCAGACAATAGGCCAGCATTTGTAGCTGAAAGAGTGCAAGATTTAACAAGAATGTTAAAAATAAAATAGAAGTTATACACAGCCTGTCGGCTGCAAAGTTCAAGAAAAGTAGAACGCATGAACCAGACACTCAAGCAGTTACTGAAGAAACATTGCCCAGAGACTTATCATGAGAGGTCAAAGGAAGGTCCCCTCTTAAACCAAACCAGGGTCCCTCCCTTTAACCAAGGGCCTATTTATCTGTATTTTGATGCTTGTCAGGCAGCAGACCAAGACTCCCTTGTCTGTGGTAACCTACCTTTAGAAAGATACTATAGAAAATGACTACAAATATGTATGCATGCCAAGAGTAACTCTATCTTCTTCCCCTAGGACCCCAGAAAAAGATTTTTGGCCTTGCATGTCGTAGCACCCTAGCACACAACAAAGGTCAATTATGCTTTTACCAAAATGCTGTTGAAACCAGATTGTGAAGCAAAAACCTGTAATCCTGTAAATTTCACCCTTCTAAAGCCAGACTTACCCATGTAGACTGCATGTTACCCCATTCATTTGTATATGCATACATACCCAGCAATCCTCCTATATGTTATCAAACAAAGAACCCAGACCCATCCAGCCCAGCAACAGTTCCAAATCTTTAAGTCATTCTATAAGCATGTAGACCAGAAGTTACCAGAGCCTACTCCTTTAGCCAAAAACCTGTTTGCTCAGCTGGCTGAACACACTGCCGGCAGCATGGGCGTTTCATGTTATGTTTCTAGAAAGACTAACGTAGTAGACCAATGGCCTTAGGAAGCAAAACAGTTAATGCCACAAAATAATTTGACTCTAATAGACCCTTCCTCCGAACCGATGCCCACAAGTCCAAGCGTCTGACTCTTAAAAACTTCTATTATCAGGAGATACTGTGTTGCTCCCTGAAGAAACGCTTTTACAGACGCAGTAGGAGAACTAACCTTCTTAGGACAGCAATATTATAATGAAACACTAAAGAAAACTTTGTGGCGAGGCAGAGATGACTCCAAAGCACCTCAACCAAATCCGTTCTCCTGTTTCTCTCCTCTAAACCACACCTAGTATCAGCTTGAAGCTCGAAATACTTGGCAAGCGCCCCTTGGTCTTTATTGGCATCTGTAAGCCACAGGCATATCGACAGTTGCCAGCTAAATGGACAAAGTCCTGTGTGTTTGAAACAATTAGACCATCTTTCCTCCTACTCCCACTGCAACAGGGAGAAACTTTAAGGTATCCCGTCTATGATGAAGTTAGAAGAAGAAGCAAAAGAGATGCAGACATAAAAAGAGATACAGAAATAGGAAATTAGAAAGACACAGATTACCCCCCTAAAAGAATAATTCAATACTATAGGCCAGCTACCTAGGCACAAGATAGGTCATGAGGGTACCGCACTCCTATTTACATGCTTAGCCATATCATAAGGTTGAAGGCAGTACTTGAAATGATCACTAATGAAACAGCAAAAGCATTAGATTTACTGGCCCAGCAAGCCACAAAAATGAAGAATGTTATTTATCACAACAGATTAGCTTTATACTATTAGCTAGGAAGCCCAGGAAGGAGGAGAATGTGGAAGGTTCAATCTAACTAATTTCTGCCTGGAAATCGATGACAATGGAAAGGCAATTATAGAAATAACTGCAAGAATGAGAAAATTACCCCATGTTCCAGTTCAAACTTGGAAAAGTTAGTCTCCAGATTCCCTCTTTGGAGGCTGGTTTTCCTCCTTCAGTGGATTCAAGACTTCAATAAGAATAGTCCTGGCCATACTAAGAGTTTGCCCAGTACTCCCTTCCCTCTTACCCCTCCTTGTTAGAAGCATTCAATCAACTATAGAGGCAAAAGCAGCTAAGCAAACTACCACTCAGCTAATGGATCTATATAAATATCAGCCTGTGCCTAAAGAAGAAAACTTGTCTCTTCAGGCAGAATTAAGTAATAGTGATGCCTTCTATTAAACTTCTTTTATAAAAGACATCAAAAGGAGGAAACTGAGGCAGAAATTTAAAAATAAATAAGCATTCATTCACTCCAAGAAAAGTAACAGGCAAGGCAAAGGTTAAAAAGAAAAGAACAAGTTTTCCTCTGCCTAGTAAGCTCACTTCAAAGACAGTTATAACACTGTTTGAGAAGCCAAGGCCAAAGGAATAGGCTCCAGACAACTCCCACTTCCAGAGCAAAGTGAAAAGAAAAAAAACAAGAAAGAAAGACAAATTCCTTTACTGTTACTCCTTTCCCTGGCTTCTTAAGCATGATGATGTTTTACAAATTTCTGTATTTAGCCAGTTCTTATTTTTCTTTTGATGCAGCTACAAGGCCACTAGCCATGCAAGGCCACAAGTTATGCCAAGTCAACAGTTATGCTATAGATTACGTGACCTGTCACTGTAGGATTAACTGCTTTTGTTTTGCTTCTGTAAGTTTGCTTAGAAAAGCCCTGCTCAGTCTTTGTTCAGTGCTCATATTTTTAGATATGAATCCACGAATCCAGTGAGTACCCTAAAATAAACAATCATCCTGTTCTCCATATCGGTCTCT
Source organism: Homo sapiens (assembly GCF_000001405.40). Classification (NCBI taxonomy): domain Eukaryota; kingdom Metazoa; phylum Chordata; class Mammalia; order Primates; family Hominidae; genus Homo; species Homo sapiens. The sequence goes on from NT_187497.1 coordinate 43,730, forward strand.
CTAGGTCTCTCTATCCTCTATTTCATATTGGTCTCTCTATTCTCTTTAGTCCTCTAGTCCAGCATTTTTGAAGGCTAAGGTGGGCAGATCACTTGAGGCCACGAATTCGAGACCAGTCTAGCCTACATGGGGATTCCCCATCTCTATTAAAAATACAAAAATTAGCCGAGCATGGTGGCGCATGCCTGTAGTCCCAGCTCCTCTGGAGGCTGAGGCAGGAGGATTGCTTGAACTTGGGAGGCGGAGGCTGCAGTGAGCTGAGATCCCGTCACTGCACTCCAGCCTGGGAGACAGAGGGAGAATCCGTTAAAAAAGGAAAAAAAAAGTTTTTTTCTGTGACAGCAACACTTAGAACTAAAAAAAAAAAAAAAAGTAAGATTACTTGCTAATATAATTGACTAGTTGGCCGGCATTCGAATTTTCCCAATATTTGCACAGTGTGCCTAGTTGTCAAGCCAGGATTTAATAACCAGATTACACGTCTGCCAGGCGGACAGACACCAATCCCTATCCATCCTCGTCTCCCGCTTGGAACAGAATTTCCCGCCTCAATACTGCAATGTCTAGTGGGAAATGCAGTCTCGGCTTCCAATCACGTCACCAGCACAGGACGGTGGGAAGGGCTCTTTGCTCAAACGCCGCCCCGCCCACTCCCGCCATCTTCCGTCAGAGAATCCCGGCTCCTGCTGCAATAAGAGGCTGTTCTGGAAGCTCTGGGGTTCGGGTCTTTGTCCCTGCAGGTTGGTGGTGGGATGAAACAGGAGACAGCGGGCTTGGAGGCACCACTGGGAGGCGGGACCGACGTGCCACAGTTGGTGGGAGCAGAGGCGTGGGCACATATTGAGGGGGCGGGGCCTGACGCACAGGTGCGGGCCGCGGACCCCGGCTGGGGCTGAAAGGGCGGCGCTGCTGGGAGGGCGGGCGTGGAATCCCCGCACTGAAGCCAGTTCCAGAGGCGCCAAAGCGGCTGGGCGAAGCCGGTGGCGCGGGAAAGGGGTCTGCAGACCGCCCGAGCCTGGGAGGTCTGCGGGGAGGCTGCGCTCCGGCACTGCATGGACCTTGTGCAGCATTCCGTGCACGCCATTGTAAGATCAGCATATGGACAGTTCTAGGGAGATGCCCCTCATTCCCAGAAGAGGACTACGAAATGCGTGCACACCGTCCTACTGCCTGGCGAGTGTATTAGTAGGGTTTCCCGGTGTCTTTCAGCAAGTGAAGATTCTCCTTGTGTCCCATTCCTACTCATCCCATCCATGTTTTAGTTTATAGGAGTTTATAAAAGATCTGGTTTCTAGGGAAGTTGGGGATCCAGATGATGGTCCTGTTTTCTGTGTAATAAGGTAAGTACAAAGTTTGGAAGAGGGCGCCTTTTAGGAATCCCACCTGAAAGAACCCCTCTTTGGACAAACCTTCTCACTGGTACTTCAAAGCAGAGGAAGCGTCACAGGTGAAGATTCCAGTTTGTATGACCCAAGCAGTTATTTTCCCACTCCCCAGAGTGGCCAAGATTTGGTTGATAAGACCTTATCCAGTAGCTCTCAAACACTGGGTGGTAGCGGAAGGTTTGGACCAACATTCAGAAGGAAGAGGGGAGTTTGGCTGCGAATGCAGGCAAGGGCCAAAGAGATGTGACTTATTGGAGGGGACTTAATAGTGTGGTCTTCGGTGGAAAAATAACCTGTTACTCCTGAGAGGATCTGTCTGGAGTACTCTGTAAAGACACTTTCATTCCTTCAATCTTTTCTCATTGTTTCTAGTGGCTGAACTTTCTTAAAAGTAGTGTAGGCCAAGACGGGAGGATCACCTGAGGTTAGGAGTTTGACACCAGCCTGGCCAACATATAGTGAAACCTTGTCTCTACTAAAAAATACAGAAATTAGCTGGGCATAGTGGTGCACACCTGTATAGTCCCAGCTACTTGGGAAACTGAGGCAAGAGAATCACTTGTACTGGGCAGGTGGAGGTTGCAGTGAGCCGAGATTGTGCCACCCTACTCTAGCCTGGGCAACAGAGCGAGACTCTGTCTCTCAAAAAAAAAAAAAAAGGAAAAGAAAAAAAACTTGTCACCAAATGTAGCATCCAGTCACGAAATTTAGCATCTAGTGATATGCCAAAGCTCCCTCTATCCTGGTAGCTCTTCCTGGTAGTTCAGTAAGCGTTTGCCAAACTATTTCTACCTTATGAGAAAGATGAAAAAAATTTGGCTTTGAGGAGCTGGGACTTGCCAGGGTCACATGATATACAGATGTTATGCATCCTGACTTTTTGGCTAGTGTTACTCATTTTGCCCCAGTTAAGTCAAAACTTTTTTTTCCTTTTTTTTTTTTTTAGATTTTTGTTGACACTGAAGTCAACTAAGAACAAACATTGCTTTAAAATACTTTCTCAGCCGCTCACTGCCTGACCAAACCCTCCCACTGGAAAAAATAATAATAAAGTACTTTCCCTTGCCGGGTGCAGTGTCTCACAGCCATAATCATAGCATTTTGGGAGGCCAAGACAGGAGGATCGCTTGCACCCAGGAGTTTGAGACTAGTCTTGGCCACATAGGGAGACCCTATGTGTTTACAAAAAAAAAAAAAAAATTTAGCTGGTCGTGGTGGCATGCACCTGTGGATCTAACTACTTGGGGGGCTGAGGTGGGAAGATCACTTGAGCCCAGGAGGGCGAAGTTACAGTGAGCTATGGTTGTGCCACTGCACTCCAGCCTGGGTGACAGAATGAGACTCTGTCTCAAACCAACCAACCAAGCAGAAACATTTCCTTAACCATCTCTGTTCCTTTTTATACCCAACTCTTTCTGTGAATTATGTGACCTCAAGGACAAATGACACAAGTGTTTACCGCTCAGTGTCAGTAATCTGTTCTTGGAAATTATAAATTCTGTAGGAAAACAATAGAGTATTTTACATATTTAAAAAGGGAAGATTAGACAGTGTCTCACTTCTATTCCAACCAGTATCTTAAAACTTAAGTAAAATACAGTACAATGCTCACTTGTAAGAGATCCTTTTTTTGCATTTTTTTAAAGTCAACAGACATTTTTATGATGTAAAGAACCTTAAAACACAGTTTACTAATATGCAAAGAGTTGCTTTTTATGATTCACATGGTATCTTAGCACTAGCAGTCTCACTGATTTCCATCAAGTTGGCATTTATTGTGATTTACAAAACTTCTACATGAGGTTGTGACGTTCTAGTGATTGTATTTGACAAGTAACTTCACATTATCTCCTTCACATGATTTTCTTAAAAACATTAAGTTCTGGTGGCTTAGGTGTATCAGTTACTGTTTTCTGTGTAAAGAACCAACGAAACTCAATGGCTTAAAAAGAAGTTCTGTTGATTCACATTTTGGTGTGTGTTCACCTGGGCATTTCCTTTGCTAATGTTGTCTGGATCACAAATGAGGCTTTGGTCATCTGGTGCCTTCACTCGCATGTCTGGTGGTTCATGCTGACACTTGTTCAAGAAGGCAAGCACCAGTGGGCAAGTACTTTTCCAACCTACATTTTCATCATATTTTCTATGTCCCATTGGCCAAAGCAAGTCAAATGACAGAGCCCCATTTGTTATCAGAGCACACTCTATGAGGTCTTAGATACAGGGAGACTTGTCACTAGGAAACATTACTAAAACAGTATATCCCAAGAAATATACAATATGTACATTTTTCCCCCTATATAATTGTAGGCAAAAAATGTTGGGTTGCAAGATACATCCTTTCAATGATGCTTAGGTATATAAAAGATGCATCCTTTCAATGATGCATAGGTATAAAAGCAAGATGTGTTCTAGTGGAAACACCTATATGGAATCATGTAGAATCTCCATATTAGTAGTGAAATAGTTAATGCAGCTGAATTATATTTCTATAATATTAATTTCATTGAAGACTAAATGTATATTTCTTTGTTTTAAATTATTACATTGTTTTTTGGATAAATTAATTGTCCCTAAATCAGTAGGTAATACATGCTTTCATTAATCCCAAAATAAATTGTATGTATCTCTACTAGTTAATATACTTGTGGGTACATCTTCAGTGGGATATTTGTTGTCCCTTATTGAGGCATGAATGACTATTCTGTCACAGGGAGGTTTTTTTGTTGTTTTAGTCTTTTCCAGCTATTGTGTAGAACATTTTGGGCAGGAGAATCTAGGACCAAGCCACATCAGTTCTCTCCTTAACCCACTCCATTCGACTGTTATCACAGCTATGCTTCCAGAGTGCTCTGTGCATTTTCACGATCAGCAAACAATGAATAAATCTCTGGTGAGTCATTTGTTTATATATTCCTCACTTTGTTTTACATTGTATTTTTTGCCTTTATGGAGTCCATGGATTAAAATGAAAAGATAGAAATAAGTAAAATTCAGGTTAAAGGAAATACACATTAATAAAATAATGCTGGCATGTAGACATATGCAGGTTATAAGCTATAGAACTTGAGTACAAATGTGTCTCTGGTCTTTCCGATGCTGCAACAAAGAGGCAGTCACATTTGTTACATGATTGGAATGGAACCTGGAAAGAGTGTATGTTCCATTCTCATGGGACAGGAAGACTTGCTGTCACCAAAGTCTGGAACACTGACTGCATTGGTCACAGAGATGATGTAGTGAAAAGGTTTTTTTACTGCCAACCTGGAAGTAAACACTTTTAGCATTTTGCAGTATAAATAGTCACTTAGTGCTAAAGCATAACTCCTGTAATGAGGTTTTTCTGGTTGCTGAAACAGTGTGGTCCCAGACAGATTTTGGAAGGCCCTACTTGATTCATGGCTAAATCCTAGAACATCTGGAGGATTGAGTTGACCACAGGTCCTTAACTAACCCCCCATACATTTCTGTCAATTCATCTGTACATGGAGAATTTGTAGCAGATTGTTCACAATTGTATTCTCTGACAAATATTTCCACTGCTCACTTGCACTTTCATTCAATGTAGTCTTAATTGGTTTATTCTAATGCTACCCATTAACCCAAATTATATGCAACTCCAATGGCTATACGCTAGTCTGCCTTACTTGAATCTTGTGCCGTACAGTAATCCCCTTTATCCACAGTTTTGCTTTCTGTTGTTTCAGTTCCCTGTAGTCAACTGCAGACAGAAAAGACAATAAGATATTTTGAATATCTTGAATATTTTGATATTTTGAATATGTTGAATACAGTAGAAGAAGATATTTTGAGACACCACATTCCTATAACTTTTAGTATAGTATGTTGACCTAATTGTTCCATTTTATTGTCGGTAATATCATACTGTGCCTAATTTATAAATTAAACTGTCAAGGGTGTGTATATATAGGAAAAAACATAGTGTATATAGGGTTTGGTACTATACACAGTTTCAGGGACCCACTAGGGGACCTGGAATGTATCCCTCATGGATAAGGGGGGATTCCTGCATTTCAAATTATTGTTCATGATCTTCTCCTGGAAATTCTTCTGTGTTAGTTTCTATCATGACCTCACTGATGCTGCTTGTCTTTTTTTCCTGAATTCTTCTACTTCTCCTTTACATAGCTTATCCAGTTGTTTCATCCAATTCCCCATCCATCCCAATGTGCAGTTCTTTTTTTGTTGTTGGTTGTTTGTTTATTACCAGTTCTGCTGTCTGTGTTGTAGCAGTTGTGTTTCTCTCCAGCTTGGACTTCTCCGGCCTTTAGACCAGGGATCCCAACCCCCAGGCCATGGACTGCTCCAATGTGTGTCCTGTGAGGAACTGCGCTGCACAGCAGGAGATGAGTAGCAGGCAAGCAAGAATTACTGCCTGCACTCTGCCTCCTGTCAGATGAATGACAGCATTAAATTCTCACAGGAGCATGAACCCTATTGTGAAATATGCATGTGAGGGATCTAGGTTACCTGCTCCTTATGAGAATCTAATGTCTGATGAACAATTTCATCCCAAAACCATCCCCCCTCACACCCTGGTATATGGAAAAATTGTCTTTCACAAAACCTGGTGCCAAAAAGTTTGGGGATCACTGCTCTAGACCACAGGTTCAGCTCTCCATTGAATGATTCTTTGTAGCTATCCGAAAGGCACCTCAAGCTTAAATCCAAAATAAAATTATATCCTTCTCTTTTCCTTTACATACAGTATTAGATTAGACAGTAATTAGCTTCTACATCTCAATAAGAGGAATAGTAAGAATCTTTATCAGTCTTTAATAAACCACAGTTTTCCCTCTGGCTACAAATTGTTTACATTCCTTCCACATGCGAAATATACTTACCTGTAGAGATAAGTATTCACCCATCGAACTGACACCACAAACAGTGTGATAAACAACCTTTGCCTCCACAAATTTCTTCCCCCCTCCCTGCCCCTTTTGGGATACAACCATCTGACTTAAGATATATTCTCTGTATAAGTCCATTCTCCCATTGCTATAAAAAACTACCTCAGACTGGGTAATTTATAAAGAAAAGAGGTTTAATTTGCTCACAGTTCCACAGACTGTAGAGGAAGCATGGCTGGGGAGGCCTCATGAAACTTACAATTATGGTGTAAGATGAAGGGGAAGCAGGCACGTCCTATGTGTCTGGAGCAGGAGAAAGTGGGTGGTGAAGAGGGAGGTTCTATACACTTTTAACAACCAGATCTCGTGAGAATTTACTAACAGGAGAACAGCAAGGGGCAAGTCTGCCCCCTGATCTAGTCACCTCCCACCAGGCCCCTCCTACAGCCAGCCTTGAGGCTTACAATTTGACATGAGATTTGGGCAAGTAAACAAATCGAAACAATACCATCCTCTTAACAAATTTTTAAGTATGCAATTCCGTATTAACTACAGGCTTTGATCTGTAGATTCGATATTTAGAACTTACTCATTGCATAACTAAAACTTATACCCTGCGACCAATACCCCCCCAGTTACCCTTCCCCCTCAGCCCTTGGTAACCAAGATTCAGCTCTATGTTTGTGTAAGTTTAACTGTTTTACATTTTTATATACTTGGAGTTCCTCAGGCTGTACAGGAAGCATGGCTTCATTTGAGCTGGAACAACAGCATCCTTCAGACTTGGTAATTAATAAAGGACAGAAATTTATTCTTAACAGTTCTGGAAGCTGGGAAGTCCAGGATCAAGGCACTGTCATCTGGTACCTGATGAGAGACTTCTTCCTGCATCCTTACATGGTGGAAGACAAAAGAGTGGCAGAGAATGAATATACTCCCAGTCCATTCGAGAGGGAAGAGCCCTCACCTCATCACTTCCCTGAGGCCTCACCTTCTAATACTATCACCTTGGTGATAAGATTTCAACATAGGAATTAGAGGGGAATACATACATCCAGACTATTGCAGATGGGATTATGTAATACTTTGTTCCTGTTTGGCTTATTTCTTAGCACAATATCTTTCTGGTATGTGCATGTTTCTGCAAATGGCAAGATTTTCTTCCTTTTTAAGGCTGAGTAATAATTCATTGCATGTATAGACCACATTTTCTTTATGCATTCATTATTAGTGAGAGTTCTTATTACAAATGGCGAAGTGGTTTTTAATATTGATTTAATTTTTGTTATTAAAAACATTTTTAGATGGTTAGATTCCTTTTTAGAATAAATATACTTCATTAGTTAAGGCAGTTTTAACTTCACAGCAGAATTAAGAAGTACATAGATTTCCTATATACCCTAATGCACATATATATGTATCCTTCGCCCTTTTCAACACCTCCCCCAACCATGGTAGTACCTTTGTTAAAATAGAGGAACCTACATTGAGACATCATAGTTGTCCAAAGGCCATAGTTTACATTAGGGTTTACTCTTGTGGTTTTACATGCTATGGGTTTGAGTAAATGTATAATGACATGTATCCAGCCTTATAGTACCTCACAGAACACTTTGTTCTAAAAGTCATCCCTGCTCTTCCTGTTTATTACATATCATCCCCTTAACCCTGCAAACCATCTCCATCATTTCGCATGTTACATAGTTGCAGTTATATAGTAAGTAGCCTTTTCAGACTGCCTTCTTTTACTTAGTAATATGCTTTTAAGTTTCCTCATCTTTTGAGGACAAGATAGCCCATTTCTTTTTAGTGCTGAATTATGTTCTATTGTGTGTACCATAGTTTATCCATTCACTTACTGAAGGGCATCTTGGTTGCTTCCAAATTTTAGTTATTTTGAATAAAGCTGCTATAAATCCCTGTTCACAGGTTTTTATGATAGCATTTATTTTCACTTACTTTGGGTAACTACCAAGGGATGCAGTTGCTGGATCATATGGTGAGAATATGTTTATTTTTCTAAGAACAAATTGTCCTCCAACTGAGTGACTGTACCGCTTTGCATTTCCACAGTCTGAATGAGAGTTCCTGTTGCTGCACATTCTCAATATCAGTTGTTGTCAGTGCTCCAGATTTTGGCCATTCTACTAGGTATGTAGCGGTATCTCATTGTTTTAATATGTTACCCTAACGTTACACAATATAATGCATTCTTTTATGAGTTTATTTCCTATATGGTTCTCATAATTGGTGAGGTATCTGTTAAGGTCTTTGGTCTATTTTATTAGGTGGTTTTCTTACTGTACAGTTTTAAGAGTTTTTGGAATGTTTTGCGTAACAGTCTCTTTATCAGATGTGAGTTTAGTTTTTGGAATGTTTTGTGAAACAGTCTCTTTATCAGATGTGAGTTTTAACAGTTTTTGGAGTGCTTTGTATAACAGCCACTTTATCAGATGCGAGTTTTAAGAGTATTCGGAATGTTTTGCCTAACAGTCTCTTTATCAGATGTGAGTTTTAAGAGTTTTTGGAATGTTTTGCAAAACAGTCTCTTTATCGGATGTCAGTTTTAAGGGTTATTGGAGTGTTTTGTGTAAAGTCTCTTTATCAGATGTGAGTTTTAAGAGTTATTGAAGTGTTTTGAGTAACAGTCTCTTTATCAAATGTGAGTTTTAAGAGTTTCTGGAGTGTTGCATAACAGTCTTTCTTTTTTTTTTTAACACTGATATACATATTTTAATCTCCATCTTAGCCCAATATCAGTATGTGTCCAAATTGATCATGACTTTACTATATCATGCTTTTTACTGTCTCAGCTTGGCTATCAGTACACTCAGAGTTCTTTTTTTTAATTGAGGAATATATATTTATTAATTAATTTTTTATTATACTTTAAGTTATAGGGTACATGTGAACAATGTGCAGGTTAGTTACATATGTATACATGTGCCATGCTGGTGTGCTGCACACATTAACTCGTCATTTAGCATTAGGTATATCTCCTAATGCTATCTCTCCCCTCTCCCTGCACCCTATAACTGTCCCCAGAGTGTGATGTTCCTCTTCCTGTGTCCATGTGTAATCATTTTTCAACTCCCAACTATGAGTGAGAACATGCAGTGTTTGGTTTTTTGTCCTTGTGATAGTTTGCTGAGAATGATGGATTCCAGTTTCATCCATGTCCCTACAAAGGACATGAACTCATCATTTTTCATGGCTGCATAGTATTCCATGGTGTATATGTGCCACATTTGCTTAATCCAGTCTATCATTGTTGGACATTTGGGTTGGTTCCAAGTCTTTGCTATTATGAATAGAGCCGCAATAAACATACGTGTTCATGTGTCTTTATAGCAGCATGATTTATAGTCATTTGGGTATATACCCAATAATGGGATGGCTGGGTCAAATGGTAGTTCTAGTTCTAGATCCCTGAGGAATCACCACACTGACTTCCACAATGGTTGAACTAGTTTACAGTCCCACAAACAGTGTAAAAGTGTTCCTATTTCTCCACATCCTCTCCAACACCTGTTGCCTCCTGACTTTTTAATGATCACCATTCTAACTGGTGTGAGATGGTATCTCATTGTGGTTTTGATTTGCATTTCTCTGATGGGCAGTGATGGTGAGAATTTTTTCATGTGTTTTCTGGCTGTATAAATGTCTTCTTTTGAGAAGTGTCTGTTCATGTCCTTCACCCACTTTTTGATGGGATTGTTTGTTTTTTTCTTGTAAATTTGTTTGAGTTCATTGTAGATTCTGGATATTAGCCCTTTGTCAGATGAGTAAGTTGCAAAACTTTTCTCCCATTCTGTAGGTTGCCTGTTCACTCTGATGGTAGTTTCTTTTCTGTGCAGAAGCTCTTTAATTAGATCCCATTTGTCAATTTGGCTTTGGTTGCCATTGCTTTTGGTGTTTTAGACATGAAGTCCTTGCACATGCCTATGTCCTGAATGGTATTGCCTAGGTTTTCTTCTAGGGTTTTTATGGTTTTAGGTCTAATGTTTAAGTCTTTAAACCTTCTTGAATTAATTTTTGTATAAGGTGTAAGGAAGGGATCCAGCTTTAGCTTTCTACAAATGGCTAGCCTGTTTTCCCAGCACCATTTATTAAATAGGGAATCCTTTCCCCATTGCTTGTTTTTCTCAGGTTTGTCAAAGATCAGATAGTTGTAGATATGTGGCATTATTTCTGAGGGCTCTGTTTTGTTCCATTGGTCTATATCTCTGTTTTGGTACCAGTACCGTGCTGTTTTGGTTACTGGTTACTGTAGCCTTGTAGTATTGTTTGAAGTCAGGTAGTGTGATGCCTCCAGCTTTGTTCTTTTGACTTAAGATTGACGTGGCGATACGGGCTCTTTTTTGGTTCCATATGAACTTTAAAGTAGTTTTTCCAATTCTGTGAGGAAAGTCATTGGTAGCTTGATGGGGATGGCATTGAATCTATAAATTACCTTGGGCATTATGACCATTTTTACGATATTGATTCTTCCTACCCATGAGCATGGAATGTTCTTCCATTTGTTTGTATCCTCTTTTATTTCCTTGAGCAGTGGTTTGTAGTTCACCTTGAAGAGGTCCTTCACGTCCCTTGTAGGTTGGATTCCTGGGTATTTTATTCTCTTTGAAGCAATTGTGAATGGGAGTTCACTTATGATTTGGCTCTCTGTTTGTCTATTATTGGTGTATAAAAATGCTTGTGATTTTTGTACATTGATTTTGTATCCTGAGACTTTGCTGAAGTTGCTTATCAGCTGAAGGAGATTTTGGGCTGAGACAATGGGGTTTTCTAGATACACAATCATGTCATCTGCAAACAGGGACAATTTGACTTCCTCTTTTCCTAATTGAATACCCTTTATTTCCTTCTCCTGCCTAATTGCCCTGGCCAGAACTTCCAACACTATGTTGAATAGGAGTGGTGAGAGAGGGCATCCCTGTCTTGTGTCAGTTTTCAAAGGGAATGCTTCCAGTTTTTGACCATTCAGTATGATATTGGCTGTGGGTTTGTCATAGATAGCTCTTATTATTTTGAAATACGTCCCATCAATACCTAATTTATTGAGAGTTTTTAGCATGAAGGGTTGTTGAATTTTGTCAAAGGCCTTTTCTGTATCTATTGAGATAATCATGTGGTTTTTGTCTTTGGTTCTGTTTATATGCTGGACTACATTTATTGATTTGTGTATATTGAACCAGCCTTGCATCCCAGGGATGAAGCCCACTTGATCATGGTGGACAAGCTTTTTGATGTGCTGCTGTATTCAGTTTGCCAGTATTTTATTGAGGGTTTTTGCATCAATGTTCATCAAGGATATTGGTCTAAAATTCTCTTTTTTGGTTGTGTCTCTGCCTGGCTTTGGTATCAGGATGATGCTGGCCTCATAAAATGAGTTAGGGAGGATTTCCTCTTTTTCTATTGATTGGAATAGTTTCAGAAGGAACGGTACCAGTTCCTCCTTGTACCTCTGGCAGAATTCGTCTGTGAATCCATCTGGTCCTGGACTCCTTTTGGTTGGTAAGCTATTGATTATTGCCACAATTTCAGAACCTGTTATTGGTCTATTCAGAGATTCAAGTTATTCCTGGTTTAGTCTTGGTAGAGTGTATGTATATAGGAATTTATCCATTTCTTCTAGATTTTCTAGTTTATTTGTGTAGAGGTGTTGGTAGTATTATCTGATGGTAGTTTGTATTTCTGTGGGATCGGTGGTGATATCCCCTTTATCATTTTTTATTGCATCTATTTGATTCTTCTCTCTTTTCTTCTGTATTAGTCTTGCTAGTGGTCTATCAATTTTGTTGATCCTTTCAAAAAAACAGCTCCTGGATCCATTAATTTTTTGAAGGGTGTCTCTATTTCCTTCAGTTCTGCTCTGATTTTAGTTATTTCTTGCCTTCTGCTAGCTTTTGAATGTGTTTGCTCTTGCTTTTCTAGTTCTTTTAATTGTGATGTTAGGGTGTCAATTTTGGATCTTTTCTGCTTTCTCTTGTGGGCAGTTAGTGCTATAAATTTCCCTCTACACACTGCTTTAAATGTGTCCCTGAGATTCTGGTGTTTTTTGTCTTTGTTCTCACTGGTTTCCAAGAACATCTTTATTGTTACCTTTATTTCATTATTTACCCAGTAGTCATTCATGAGCAGTTTGTTCAGTTTCCACGAACTTATGCTGTTTTGAGTGAGTTTCTTAATCCTGAGTCCTAATTTGATTGCTCTGTGATCTGAGAGACAGTTTGTTGTGATATCTGTTCTTTTACATTTGCTGAGGAGTGCTTACTTCCAATTATGTGATCCATTTTAGAATAAGTGTGATGTGGTACTGAGAAGAATGTTTATTCTGCTGATATGGGGTGGAGAGTTCTGTAGATTTCTGTTAGGTCTGCTTGGTGCAGAGCTGAGCTGAAGTCCTGGATATCCTTGTTAACCTTCTGTCTTGTTGATTTGTCTAATATTGACAGTAGGGTGTTAAAATCTCCCATGATTATTTTGTGGAAGTCTAAGTCTGTTTGTAGGTATCTAAGGACTTAATTTATGAATCCGGGTCCTCCTGTGTTGGGTGCATATATATTTACAGTAGTTAGCTCTTCTTGCTGAATTAATCCTTTTGCCATTGTATAATGGCCTTCTTAGTGTCCTTTGATCTTTGTTTGTTTAAAGTCTGTTTTATCAGAGACTAGGATTGCAACCCCTGCTTTAAAAATTTTTTTTTTTTTGCTTTCCATTTGCTTGGTAGATCTTCCTCATCCCTTTATTTTGAGCCTATGTGTGTCTCTGCACGTGAGATGTGTCTTCTGAATACAGCACATTGATGGGTCTTGACTCTTTATCCAATTTGCCAGTCTATGTCTTTTAATTGGGGCATTTAGTCCATTTACATTTAAGATCAATATTGTTATGTGTGAATTTGATCCTGTCATTATAATGTTAGCTTGATCTTTTGCCCATTTTTTGATGCAGCTTCTTCATAGTATCAATGTTCTTTACAATTTGACATGTTTTTTGCAGGGGCTTGTACTGGTAGTTCCTTTCCATTCTTAGTGCTTCCTTCAGGAGCTCTTGTAAGGCAGGCCAGGTGGTGACAAAATCTCTCTGCATTTGCTTGTCTGTAAAGGATTTTATTTCTCCTTCACTTATGAAGCTTAGTTTAGCTGGATATGAAATTTTGGGCTGAAAATTCTTTTCTTTAAGAATGTTGAATATTGGTCCCCACTTTCTTCTGGCTTGCAGGGTTTCTGCTGACAGATCTGCTGTTAGTCTGATGGGCTTCCCTTTGTGGATAACCCAACCTTTCTCTCTGGCTGCCCTTAACATTTTTTCCTTCATTTCAACCCTGGTGAATCTGACAATTAGTGTCTTGGGGTTGCTCTTATCTAGAAGTATCTTTGTGGTATTCTCTGTATTTCCTGAATTTGAATGTTGGCCTGCCTTGCTATGTTGGAAAAGTTCTTCTGAATAATAACCTAAGGAGTGTTTTCCAACTTGGTTCCAATCTCTCCATCACATTTAGGTACACCAAGCAAATGTAGATTTGGTCTTTTCACATTGTTCCATTTTTCATGGAGGCTTTGTTTGTTTCTTTCCAATCTTTTTACTCTAAACTTACCTTCTCACTGTATTTTATTAATTTGATCTTCAATCACTGATATGCTTTCTTCCACTGGATTGAATCAGCTTTTGAAGGTTGTGCATGTGCCACAAAGTTCTTGTGCCATATCAGCTCCATAATGTCATTAATGTATTCTCTACACTGTTTATACTAGTTAGCCATTGTCTGACCATTTTTCATGGTTTTTAGCTTCCTTGCAGTGTGTTCAAACACGCTCTTTTAGCTCAGAGAAGTTTCTTATTAGCAACCTTCTGAAGCCTCCTTCTGTCAACAGGTCAAAGTCATTCTCCCTTCAGCTTTGTTCTGTTGCTGGTGAGGAGCTGCAATCCTTTGAAGGAAAAGAAGTGTTCTGGGTTTTAGGATTTTCATCTTTTCTGCTCTGGATTCTTCCCATCTTTGTGGTTTTCTCTACCTTTGGTCTTTGATGTTGTTAACCTAGAGATGGGGTTTTGGTGTGGATGTCCTTTTTTTTTATGTTGATGCTATTCCTTTCTGTTTGTTAGTTTTCCTACTAACAGTCAGATCCCTCAGCTGCAGGTCTGTTGGATTTTGCTGGAGGTCCACTCCAGGCCTTGTTTGCCTGGGTATCACCAGAAGAGGCTGAAGAACAGCAAATATTGCTTCCTGATCCTTCCCTGGAAGCTTCATTGAAGAGGGGCTCCCACCTGTATGAGGTGTCTGTTGGCCCTTACTAGGAGTTGTCTCCCAGTTAGGCTACATGGGGTTCAGGGACCCACTTGAGGAGGCAGTATGTCCATTCTCAGAGCTCAAACACCATGCCGGGAGTACCACGGCTCTCTTCAGAGCTGTCAGATGGGATGTTTAAGTCCGCAGAAGTTTCTGCTACCTTTTACTCAGCTATGCCCTGCCCACAGAGTTTGAGTTTATTAAGGCAGTAGGCCTTGCTGAGCTGTGAGTGGCTCTACCCAGTTCAAGCTTCCTGACCACTTTATTTACCTACTCAAACCTCAAAAATTGCAGATTCACCTCCCCCTGCCCAGCTGCTGCCTTGAAGGTTAATCTCAGACTGCTTCCCTAGCAGTGAACAAGGCTCTCTGGGTGTGGGACTCAATGAACCCAGCACAGGAGAGAATCTCCTGGTCTGCCAGGTGCTAAGACTGTGGGAAAAGTGCAGCATTTGGGTGAGAGTGTCCTGTTTTTCCAGGTACAGTCTGTCATGCCTTCCCTCAGCTAGGAAAGGAAAATCCCTCAAACCCTTGCACTTCCTTGATGAGTTGATGCCCTGTCCTGCTTCGGCTAACCCTCCATGTGATGAACCCACTGTCCAACCAATCCCGATGAGATGAATCAGGTACCTCAGTTGGAAATGCAGAAATCAACCATTTTCTGCTTGATTACACTGGGAGCAAAATCGAATGCCATTAGGTATGCTTGCAGCAGCCAAAGGAGGGGTTTGAACCTTGCTGCATACTGAATGTTGTGTGTGTATACCTGACAGTTCTCACAATATTACTTTCCTTGCCCAAGACATGCAAGGACAACTAAAACAGTTAGAATCTGTCAGGACCCCATCATGAATTGGCTGTCCAACTGACATTGGCGTTGGCCTTGGTGGGTGTGATTTTATTTAATTGTGCTTTAATTCTCCTCTGCTTACCCTGCTTCTTTAACCTCTACCAATGATGTATTCCCCGTATATCTGCAAGGGTGTTTTCCTACAATTGAGTATCAAGTGGGACCGAATACAGAGAAAAAGTTAAATAATATATTTCAACTCAATTGAACATGGACACAATGGTCACCAAGTCCCAGAATAGGTTTTGTGAGCCCCTTGAGGCATTCATCCAGCACTGTTTCAGAGAAATCTCTATTTCAATCTATTCCTATACGTTAGTTATTGAAAAACAACAGACAATGGCAAAAACAAATTGACCTTTTTGTGTTCCTTTGTGCATGGACGAATGGCTGACTCTGGAGCCCAGGCTGTTGCTTCTCGGTCTGGTGATCAATCTTCCATAGTCTATCTATATATATATATACATATACATATGTATACACATTTTTTTCCTTCTCCCCTTTCCCATTGTAATTTGCTTGTTGTATCAATTTGCTTATTTTATCATCATTTGCTTATTATATCTGCATTGCCATTTATGTGGGATAGAGTTTGTTGACCTTTAAAGTTTTGTGTGTGTGTGTTTTCTCCTCCCCTGGAGCATCTCCTGCACATAACACCTCTCTTCCTGTCATAGCCAGAAATTCAGTTTTTAAGTTTTTTTCTGGGGTCTTCTTGCTCAAGAGGAAGTATGTTCAGTGATACGTGGCTTAGAATTTTATTTTTAGCTTTTATTACATTCTAAACCCCCAGCAGAAAGAAGTCTTAACAAACACAGATTTTAATTTATGAACATTCTTCTAATAAGTTTTGTATGGTAGCGGAACAACTAAAAAAACTGTTTTTTGCATTGATGACCTACCTCATTACAATTTAACCTCTAAAGGTTGTTTTAGCCAGCTCTACAGGCTGCTATGGTTAAGGTGAATTTACTGCTTCTTCCCACAATAGAGAATGGTATTTTAAAATAGCATAACTTCTATGGAATATATTTTTAAAGCATGACCACAATTTGAATAATTAGAATATTTAAAAATTCCGAAGATTGTTATACCAACGCTGCACTAAAATTTATCCTTCCATTGATGACAGGGAATTTTTAATAGTTATTTTTATAATAAATTAAATTTTAATAAAATAACTGACTTTCAAACTTTAGCAAGAGGACACATATTCAGACAGAGATATCAGTTCCCCCTTAGAAAAAAATATTCACTTCTCATTAAAATCTCTCTGTATCTTACTGATTTCAGATAGAAGTTAAATTTCACCTTAATAACAGAAACAAAAGAACTAGTTAAACTGACAAAAACTAATAAACGTATGCCCAAATTTACTGGCAGAATCATGAGTACACCATATAATAGTAACATTCTACCAGTTTTAAGTAAAATAAATGAGGAAATAATCTTGACTGTACAACCTACCAGGAGGGGCGTGTCCCTGCTCCCAGATGAGTGGGAACGCTGCACTCTGGGGTGGTTGCGCCTCAGCTTCTGGCAACTCTTGTTGGCAGCATTGCCATTGCAGGGACAAGGCAGGCGTTGGGGGGGCGGGCAGTGGGCCAGGCCCAGGCACGTCCTTTGCCAGAGACTGGGCAGGTGCGGAGAGGGGCGAAGCAGTGCTGCCCTGGTCGAGGGAGCCTCCCGCTCTGGACGGTTCGCCAAACCTGCCCCAGGAGGTTGCTGCAGGAGCTGGGTGGGGAAGGGGAGGGATGAGGGGATGCAGGCCAGATCAGGTGGCCCCTTAGCCCTGGGTGATGCAAGAGGGGCTGTGGGAGACCAGAGAAGACCCGGAGCAGAAACTGGGAACTGATATCTCTGGCTGAATATTTGTCCTCTTGCTGAAGTTTGAAAGTCAGTTATTTCATTACAGTTCAATTTTATTACAAAAATAACAACTATTAAAAATTCCCTGTAGTCACTGGAATGATAAATTTTGGTGCAGTTTTAGCATAACAATCTTTGGAGTTTTTAGATATTCTAATTATTGAAATTGCAGCCATGTTTCAAAATACATGCCATATATTTTTATGGCATCCACCCCTGGGTCCCTGTGTCCCGCATCCGCCTCTGTGTACCTGCTGGCTCAGGAAACGAGCTTCTTCCTACTTCCACAGACTCCAATCAGGCTGCCCTTCCTCCTGGTACTTGAGGCACACGTGGGGATAGCCTGCCAGTGAATAGCCCGAGAATGCCCGGCCTGTGCCGTGTGCTCAGAGTGGGGTCCTGGCTGGTGCCCCTCAGAGCCCCTCACAAAGCAGGGCTAGGTGTGGAGGGACCTAGCACCAGGCAGCGGTGAGCGGATGGATGCTCCAGGGATGTGGGGCTGCTGACAGTCAAGAACCCTTTGCCAAATTCAATGGCATAATGTAGGATATTTTTTCCCTTATATTTTTGTGTAGGAGTTTTACAACTTTCAGCCTTACATTTGTATTTTCTTAACATAGGATTCCAGAACAATGCTACGAGGGTCTGAATGCCTGTCCCACACATAGGATTCTAGAACACCCCAGCTGTCGTCTGAATGATTGCCCCCCACATATGATTCCAGAACACTGCTGCTGCGGTCTGAATGATTGTACCTCACACAGGATTCCAGAACACTCCTCCTCTAGTCTGAATGTTTGTCCCTCAGATAATATTCCGGAACACTGCTGCTGGGTTCTGAGTGTTTGTCCCTCACATAGGATTCCAGAACACTGCTAAGAGGGTCTGAATGTTTGTCCTTCACATGAGATTGCAGAACACTGCTAAGAGGGTACGATTGTTTCTACCTCACATAAGATTCCAGAACACTTCTACGAGGGTCTGAATCTTTGTCCCATACATAGGACTCCAGAACACTCCTGCTGTGTTCTGAATGTGTTTTCCTAACATAGGATTCCAGAACAATGCTACGAGGGTCTGAATGCTTCTCCCACAAGTAGGATTCCAGAACACCCCAGCTGCAGTCTGAATGATTGTCCCTCACATAGGATTCCAGAACACTGCTGCTGGGTTCTGAGTGTTTCTCCCTCACATAGGATTCCAGAACACTGGTACAAGGGTCTGAATGATTGTACCTCACATAGGATTCCAGAACACTCCTGCTCTGGTCTGAATTTTTGTCCCTCAGATAGGATTCCAGAACACTACTACTGGGTTCTGAGTGTTTGTCTCCCACGTAGGATTCCACAACACTGCTACGAGGGTCTGAATGTTTGTCCCACACATAGGACTCCAGAACACTCCTGCTCTGGTCTGAATGTTTGTCCCTCAGATAGGATTCCAGAACACAGCTTCTGGGTTCTGAGTATTTGTCCCTCACATAGGATTCCAGAACACTGCTACTGGGTTCTGAGTGTTTCTCCCTCACATAGGATTCCACAACACTGCTAAGAGTTTCTGAATGTTTGTCTCATACATAGGATTCCAGAACACTGCTACGTGGGTCTAAATGTTTGTCCCTCACATAGGATTCCAGAACACTACTGATGTGGTCTGAATGCTTGACCCTCACATAGGATTCCAGAATATTCCTGTTGTCTTCTGGGTGTTTGTGACTCACAAGGGTTTCCAGATCTATCCTGCTGTGTTCTGAATGTTTCCCCCTCAGATAGGATTCCAAAACATTCCTTCTGTGGTCTGAGTGTTTGTCTCTCAAATAGGATTCCAAAACACTGCTACTGGGGTCTGAATGTTTGTGCCTCAAATAGGATTCCAGAACACTGCTACGAGGGTCTGAATTATTCTCCCTCACATAGCATTCCAGAACACTCCTGCTGTGGTCTGAATGTTTATGCCTCACTCAGGATTCCAGAACATTCCTGCTGTGGTCTGAATGGTTGTCCCTCACTTAGGATTCCAGAACACTGCTGTTGGGTTCTGAGTGTTTGTCCCGCACATAAGATTCCAGAACACTGCTACTTGGGTGTCAATGTTTGTCCCTCAGATAGGATTCCAGAACACTGCTGATGGGGTCTGAATGCTTGTCCCTCACATTGGATTCCAGAACACTCCTGCTGTGGTCTGAATGTTTGAACATCACATAGGATTACAGAACACTGCTGTGGGTTTCTGAGTATTTGTCCCTCTCATAGGATTCCGGAACACTGCTACGAGAGTCTGAATATTTGTCCCACACATAGGACTCCAGAACACTCCCGCTGTGTTCTGAATGTATTTTCCTAAAATAGGATTCCAGAACAATGCTACGAGAGTCTGAATGCGTTTCCAACCCGTAGGATTCAAGAAGACCCCAGTTGTGGTCTCAATGATTGTCCCTCACATAGGATTCCAGAACACTGCTGCTGGGTTCTGAGTGTTTTTCCCTCACATAGGATTCCAGACCACTGCTACGAGGGTCTGAATTATTCTCCCTCACATAGGATTCCAGAACACTCCTGCTGTGGTCTGAATGTTTGCCCCTCACTTAGGATTCCAGAACACTGCTGCGGGGTTCTGAGTGTTTGTCCCTCACATAGGATTCCAGAACACTGTTACGAGGTTCTGAAAGTTTGTCCCTCACGTAGGATTCCATTACACTAGTGCTGTGGTCTGAATGGTTGACACTCACATAGGATTCCAGAACATTCCTGCTGTATTCTGAATGGTTGACCCTCACATAGGATTCCAGTACATTCCTGCTGTGGTCTGGGTGTTTTTGCCTCACATGGGATTTCATAACAATCCTGCTGTGGTCTGACTGTTTGTCCCTCACATAGGATTCCAAAACATTCCTGCTGTTTTCTGAGTGTTTGTACCACAAATAGGATTCCAGAATACTGCTACTGGTGTCTGAAAGTTTGTCCCTCACATTGGATTACAGAACACTGCTAACAGCGTCTGATTTATTCTCCCTCATATAGGATTCCAGAACACTCCTGCTGTGGTCTGAATGTTTGTCCCACTCTTAGGATTCCAGAACACTGCTGTTGGAGTCTGAGTGTTTGTCCCTCATGTACGATTCCAGAACACTGCTACGTGGGTCTAAATGATTTTCCCTCACATCAGATTCCAGAACACTGCTACGAGGCTCTGAATGTTTGTCCCACACATAGGACTCCAGAACACTCCTGCTTTGTTCTGAAGGTATTTTCCTCACATAGGATTCCAGAACAATGCTACAAGGGTCTGAATGTTTGTTCCACACGTGGGATTCCAGAACACCTCAGTGGTTTTCTGAATGATTGTCCCACACATAGGATTCCAGAA
This sequence comes from Homo sapiens, assembly GCF_000001405.40. NCBI lineage: Eukaryota > Metazoa > Chordata > Mammalia > Primates > Hominidae > Homo > Homo sapiens. Next base: position 64,363 of record NT_187497.1, read on the forward strand.
CAAAGCTGCTGGGTTCTGAGTGTTTGTCCTTCAAATATGTTTCCAGAACACTCCTGCTCTGGTCAGAATGTTTGTCACTCACTGAAGATTCCAGATCCCTGTTCTTGGGTACTGAGTGTTTCCCCCCCATACGATTCCAGAACATTGCTACGTGGGTCTAAATGTTGGTCCCTCCCATAGAATTCCAGAACACTGCTACGAGGTTCTGAATGCTTGTCCCGCACATAGGACTCCAGAACACTCCTACTGTGTTCTGAATGTTCTTCCTCACATAGGATTCCAGAACAATGCTACGAGGTTCTGAATATTTGTCCCACACCTAGGGATCCAAAACACCCCAACTGGGGTCTGAATGACTGTCCCTCACATAGGACTCCAGAACACTGCTGCTGTGTTCTGAATGTTCTTCCTCACATAGTATTCCATAACATTGCTATGAGGGTCTGAATGTTTGTCTCACACATAGGGACCCAGAACATCCCAGATGTGGTGTGAATGATTGTCCCTCACATAGGATTCCAGAACGCAGCTGCTGGGTTCTGAGTGTTTCTCCTTTACGTAGGATTCCAAAACATTGCTACTGGGATCTGAATTTTTCTCCCTCACATAGGATTCCAGAACTCTGCTATGAGGATCTTAATTATTCTCCCTCACATAGGATTCCAGAACACTCCTGTTGTGGTCTGAATGTTTGTCCCTCACTTAAGCTTCCAGAACACTGCTGTCGGGTTCTGTGTGTTTGACCCTCACGTACGATTCCAAAACACTGCTACGTGTGTCTAAATGTTTTTCCCTCACATAAGATTCCAGAACACTGCTATGAGGGTCTGTATGTTTGTCCCGCACGTAGGTCCGCAGAACACTACTGCTGTGTTCTGAAGGGTTTTTCCTCACATAGGATTCCAGAACAATGCTACAATGGTATAAATGATTGTCCCTCACAGAGGATTCCAGCACACTTCTTCTGGGTTCTGAATGTTTCTCCCTCACATAGGATTACAGAACACTCCTTCTATGATCTGAATGTTTGTCCCTCACTTAGGAATGCAGAACACTGCTGTTGGGTTCTGACTGTTTGTCCTTCACGTACGGTTACAGAACACTGATACATGGGTGTAAATGTTTGTCCCTCACATAGGAGTCTAGAACACTGCTACAAGGGACTGAATGTTTGTCTCGCACATAGGACTCTGGAACACACCTAGTGTGTTCTGAAAGTATTTTCCTCACATAGGATTCCACAGCAATGCTACGTGAGTCTGAATCTTTGTCCCAAACCTAGGACTCCAGAACAACTCAGCTGTGGTCTGAATGATTGTCCCTCACATAGGATTCCAGAACACTGCTGCTGGGTTGTGAGTGTTTCTCCCTCACATGGTATTCCAGAACACTGCTACTGTGGTCTGAAAGTTTTTCCCTCACATAGGATTGCAGAACACTGCTACGAGGGTCTGAATTATTCTCCCTCACATAGGATTCCAGAAGATTCCTTCGTGGTCTGTATGTTTGTCCCTCAATTAGGATTCCAGGACACTGCTGTAGGGTTCCAAGTGTTTGTCTCTCACTTGCGGTTCCAGAACACTGCTCCCTGGGTCTAAAAGTTTGTTCCTCACATAGGATTGCAGAACAGTGCTACAAGGGTCCGGGTCTGAATGTTTGCCCCACACATAGGATTCCAGAATGCCTCAACTGTGGTATGAATGATTGTCCCTCATATAGGATTCCACAATACTACTACTGGGTTATGAGTGTTTCTCCCTCACATGGCATTCCAGAACACTGCTACGAGGGACTGAATGTTTGTCCCGCACATAGGACTCCACAACACTCCTGTTGTGTTCTGAATGTATTTTCCTCAAAGAGGATTCCAGAAAAATGCTACGCGGGTCTGCATGTTTGTCCCACACGTAGGACTCCAGAACACCCCGGCTGTAGTCTGAATGATTGTCCCTCACATAGGATTGCAGAACACTGCTTCTGGGTTGAGCATTTCTCCCTCACATAGGATTCCAGAACACTGCTACGAGGGTCTGTATTATTCTCCCTCACAATGGATTCCAGAATATTCCTTCTGTGATCTGTGTGTTTTTCCCTCAATTAGCATTCCAGGACACCGCTGCTGGGTTCTGAGTGTTTCTCCCTCACATAGGATTGCAGAACCCTGCTACTGACATCTGAATATTTGTCCCTCACAAAGGATTCCAGAACACTGCTGCAATGGTCTGAATTATTCTCCCTCACATAGGACTCCAGGACACTCCTACTGTGGTCTGAATGTTTTTCCCTCACTTAGGACTCCAAAACACTGCTGTTGGGTTCTGAGTGTTTGTCCCTCATGTACGATTCCAGAACACTGCTACGTGCTTCTAAATGTTTGTCCCTCACATAGGATTCCAGAACACTACCATGAGAGTATGAGTGTTTGTCATGCACATAGGACTCCAGAACACTCCTTCTGTGTTCTGAATGTTCTTCCTCACATAGGATTCTGGAACAATGATACGAGGGTCTGAATGTTTGTCCCACACGTAGGATTCCAGAACACCCCAGCTGTGTTCTGAATGATTGTCCCTTACATAG
>NT_187497.1:66967-103838 GCF_000001405.40 Homo sapiens
TGGCCTGAATGTTTGTTCCTCACATAGGATTCCAGAACTCTCTTGCTGTGGTCTGAATGTTTGTCCCTCCTATAGGATTCCAGAACACTGCTGCTGTGTTCTGAAAGGTTGACCCTTACATAGGATTCCAGAACACTCCTGTTGTGGTCTGGGTGTTTGTGCCTTACGTGGGATTCCAGAACAATCCTGCTGTGGTCTGCATGATTCTCCCTCACATAGGATTCCAAAACATTCCTGCTGTGGTCTGAGTGTTTGTCCCACAAATAGGATTCCAGAATACTTCTACTGTGGTCTGAAAGTTTGTTCCTCACGTAGGATTCCAGAGCACTGCTACGAGGGTCTGAATGTTTGTCCCACACATAGGACTCCACAACACTCCTGCTGTCTTCTGAATGTTCTTCCTCACATAGGATTCCAGAACATTACTACGAGGGTCTGAATGTTTGTCCCACACCTAGGGATCCAGAACACCCCAGCTGTGGTCTGAATGATTGTCCAACACATAGGATTCCAGAACACTGCTGCTGGGTTCTGAGTGTTTCTCCCTCACTGAGGATTCCATAACACTGCTACTGGGGTCTGAATTTTTTTCCCTCAGATAGGATTCGAGAACACTGCTACAAGGGTCTCAATTATTCTCCCACACATGGGATTCCAGAACACTCCTGCTGTGGTCTGAATGTTTGTCCCTCACTTAAGATTCCAGAACACTGTTGTTGGGTTCGGAATGTTTGTTCCTCACGTACGATTCCAGAAGACTGCTATGTGGGTCTAAATGTTTTTCCCTTACCTAGGATTCCAGAACACTGTTTCGAGGGTCTGTATGTTTGTCTCGCACATAGATCTCCAGAATACTACTGCTGTGTTTTGAAGGTGTTTTTCTCACATAGGATTCCAGAACAATGTTACAATGGTCTGGATGATTGTCTCTTACATAGGATTCCAGAACATGGCTTATGGGTTCTGAGTGTTTCTCCCTCACATAGGATTACAGAACACTCCTTCTGTGGTCTGAATGTTTGTCGCTCACTTAGGAATCCAGAACACTGCTGTTGGGTTCTGAGTGTCCCTCACGTAGGGTTACAGAACAATTCTACATGAGTCTAAATGTTTGTCCCTCACATAGGATTCCAGAACCGTGCTATGAAGGACTGAATGCTTTTTCTTCATATAAGACTACAGAACACTCCTGCTGTGTTCTGAATGTATTTTATTCACATAGAAGTCCCGAACAATGCTACAAGGTTCTGAATCTTTGTTCCACACTTAGGATTCTAGTACACCCTAGCGGTTTTCTGAATGATTGTCCCACACATAGGACTCCAGAACACTGCTGCTGGGTTCTGAAGCTTTCTCCCTCAAATAGGTTTCCAGAACTCTCCTGTTGTGGTCAGAATGTTTGTCCCTCACTGAGGATTCCAGATCCCTGCCCTTGGGTACTGAGTGTTTGCCTCACATAGGATTCCAGAACACTGCTACTGTGGACTGCATTTATATCCCGCATATAGGCTTCCAGAACACTCCTGCTGTGTTTTGAAAGTATTTTACTCACACAGGATTCCAGAACAACGCTACTAGCGTGTGAATGTTTCTTTCACATGTAGGATTTCAGAGCACCCCAGGTGTGATCTGAATGATTGTCCCTCCCATAGGATTCCAGAACACTGCTGCTCAGTTGTGAGTGTTTCTCCCTCACATAGGATTCCAGAACACTACTGCTGTGGTCTGAATGTTTGTCCCTCACATAGGATTCCAGAACACTGCTACGAGTGTCTGAATTATTCTCCCTCACATAGGATTCCAGAAGATTCCTGCTGTGGTCTGAATGTTTGTCCCTCACTTGGGATTCTAGGACACTGCTGTTGGGTTCTGAGTGTTTGTCCCTTATGTAAGATTCCAGAACACTGTTCCGTGGGTTTAAATGTTTATCCCTCACATAGGATTGCAGAATACTGCTGTGAGGTTCTGAATGTTTGTCCCGCACAATGGACTCCAGAAATCTCCTTCTGTGTTCTGAATGTATTTACCTCACATAAAATTCCAGAACAATGCTAAGAGGGTCTGAATGTTTGTCCCACACTTAGGAATCCAGAACACCACAGCTGTGGTCTGAAAGATCGTCCCTCACATTGGATTCCCGAACACTGCTGCTGGGTTCTGAGTGTTTCTCCTTCACATAGGACTCCAGAACTCTGCTACGAGGTTCTGAATGATTGTACCTCACATAGTATTCCAGAACCCTCCTGCTCCGTTCTGAATATTTGTCCCACAGATAGGATTCCAGATCACTGCTCTTAGGTTCTGCACGTTTGTCCCTCAAATAGGATTCCAGAACACTGCTGCTGTGTTCAAAATGTTTGTTCCTCGCATAGGACTCCAGAACTCACCTGCTATGGTCTGAACGATTGTCCCTCATATAGGAATCCAGAACATTACTGCCTTGGTCTGAATTGTTGACCAGAATCCTGCTGTGGTCTGAATGTTTCTCCCTCACATAGGTTCCAAAACATTCCTGCTGTTTTCTGAGTGTTTCTCCCACAAATAGGATTCCAGAACACTGCTACTGTGGTCTGAAAGTTTCTCCCTCACATAGGATTCCAGAACACTGCTACAAGGGTCTGAATTATTCTCCATCATATAGGATTCCAGAACACTCCTGTTGTCGTCTGAATGTTTATCCCTCACTGAGGATTCCAGAACACTGCTGTTGGGTTCTGAGTGTTTGTCCCTCATGTACGATTCCAGAACCCTGCCACGTGGGTCTAAATGTTTGTCCCTCACACAGGACTCCAGAACAATGCTACGAGGGTCTGAATCTTTGTCCCAAACTTGGATTCCAGAACCCACCAGCTGTGATCTTTCTGATGGTCTCTCACATAGGATCCAGAACAATGACGCTGGGTTCTGAGTGTTTCTCCCTCACATAGGAATCCAGAACACTCTTGCTGTTGTCTGAATGCGTGTCTCTCACTTAGGTTTCCAGAATACTGCTGTTGGGTTCTGAGTGTTTGTCCCTCATTTACGATTCCAGACCACTGCTACGTGTCTCTAAATGTTTGTCCCTCAGATAGGATTCCCGAACACCGCTACGAGGGTCTGAATGTTTGTCCCACAGTTAGGTTTCCAGAACACCCCAGCTATCGTCTGAATGATTGGCCTTCATATAAGATTCTGGAAAACTGCTGCTGGTTTCTGAGAGGTTCTCTCTCACATAGGATTTCAGAACACTGCTGCTGGGGTCTGAAAGTTTGTCCCTCACATAGGATTCCAGAGCACTGCTACGAGGTTCTGAATTATTCTCCCTCACATAGGATTCCAGAACACTCCTGCCATCATCTGAATGTCCCTCACTTAGGATTCCAGAACACTGCTGTTGTGTTCTGAGTGTTTGTCCCTCACGTACTATTCCAGCACACTGGTACGTGGGTCTAAATGTTTGTCCCTCTCATAGGATTCCAGAACACTGCTATGAGTGTCTGAATGTTTGTCCCTCACATAGGGTTCCAGAACTCTCCTGCTGTGGTCTGAATGTTTGTCGCTCACTGAGGATTCTAGAACACTGCTGTTGGGTTCTGAGTGTTTGTCCCTCACCTTTGATTACAGAACACTGCTACTTGATTCTAAATGTTTGTCCGTCACACAGGATTCCAGAACACTGCTATGAAGGTCTGAATGTTTGCCCCTCACATAGGATTCCAGAACACTGCTACGGGTGTCTTAATTATTCCCCATCCCATCGGATTCCAGAACACTCCACCTGTTGTCTGAATGTTTGTCCCTCACTTACGATTCGAGAACACTGTTGTTGGGTTCTGTGTATTTCTCACTTACATACTAGTCCAGAACACTGCTACGTGGGTCTAAATGTTTTTCTCTCACATAGGATTCCAGAACACTGCTACGAGGGTCTGAATGTTGTCCCACCCACAGGACTCCAGAAAACATCTGCTGTTTTCTGAAAATATTTTCCTCACTTAGGATTCCAGAACAATGCTATGAGGGTTTGAATGTTTGTCCGATATGCAGGATTCCAAAACGTCCCAGCTGTGTTCTGAATGATTGTCCCTCACATAGGATTCCGGAAAACTGCTGTTGGGTTCTGAGTGTTTCTCCCTCACATAGGATTCCAGAAAACTGCTACTGGTGTCTGAATGTTTGTCCCTCACGTCGGATTTCAGGAAATTGCTAAAAGGATCTGAATTATTCTCCCTAACATAGGATTCCAGAACACTCCTGCTGTGGTCTGAATGTTTGTCCCTCACATAGGATTCCAGATCACTGCTGCTTGGTTCTGAGTGTTTCTCCCTCAGATAGGATTCCAGAACACTGTGGCTGTGGCCTGAATGTTTGTCCCTCACTTAGGATTACAGAACACTGCTGTTGGGTTCTGAGTGTTCCTCACGTACGATTCCAGAACACTGTCACGTGGATCCAAAAGTTTCTCCTTCACATAGGATTCCACAACACTGCTACGAGGGTCTGAATGTCTCTCCCGCACATAGGTCTCCAGAACACTCCTGCTGTGTTCTGAATAATTTTTCTCACATGAGATTCCAGAACAATGCTACCAGGGTCTGAATGTTTGTCACACACGAAGGACTGCAGAATAACCCACCTGTGGTCTGAATGAATGTCCCTTACATAGAATTCCAGAACACTGCTGCTGGATTCTGAGTGTTTCTCCCTCACATCGGATTCCAGAACACTGCTACGAGGGTCTGAATGATTGTACCTCACATAGGATTCCAGAACGCCCCTGCTCTGGTCTGAATGTTTGTCTCTCAGATAAGATTCCAGAACACTGCTGCTGGGTTCTGAGTGTTTGTCCCTCACATAGGATTCCAAAAAAGCGCTGCTGTGGTCTGAATGTTTGTTCCTCCCATATGATTCCAGAACACTCCTGTACTCTCTGAATGTTTGTCCCTCATGTAGGATTCCAGAACACTACTCCTGTGGTCTGAATGGTTGTACCACACATAGTATTCCAGAACAATCCTGCTGTGGTCTGGCTGTTTGTGCCTCACATGAGATTCCAGAGCAATCCTGCTGTGGTCTGTATGTTTCTCCCTCACATAGGATTGCAGAACATTCCTGCTGTGGTCTAAGTGTTTGTTCCTCAAGTAGTATTCTAGAACACTGCTACTGGGGTCTGAAAATTTGTCCCTCACATAGGATTCCAGAACATTGCTACCAGGGTTTGAAGTATTTTCCCTCACATAGGATACCAGAACACTCCTGCTGTGGTCTGAATGTTTGTTCTTCACTTCGGATTACAGAACACTGCTGTTGGGTTCTGAGTGTTTGTCCCTCACAAACGATTCCAGAATACTGCTATGTGGGTCTAAATGTCTGTCCCTCACATAGGATTACAGAACACTGCTACGAGGGTCTGAATGTTTGTCCCACACATAGGACTCAAGAACTCTCCTGCTGTGTTATGAATGTATTTTCCTCTCATAGGATTCCATAACAATGGAAGGGTCTGAATGGTTGTCCCACTGGTAGGATTCCAGAACACCACAGCTGTGGTCTGAATGATTGTCCCTCACATAGGTTTCGAGAGCACTGCTGCTGGGTTCTTATTGTTTCTCCCTCACATAGGGTTCCAGAACACTGCTACTGGGTTCTCTAAATGTTTGTCCCTCACAAAGGATTCCAGAAAACTGCTCCAAGGGTCTGAATTTTTCTCCCTCACATAGTTTTCCAGAACACTCCTGCTGTGGTCTGTATGTTGGTCCCTCACTTTGTATTCCAGAACACTGCTGTTGGGTTCTGAGTGTTTATCCCTGACGTATGATTCCAGAACACTGCTATGTGGGTTTAAATGTTTGTCCCTCACATAGGATTCCAGAACTTAGCTACGAGGGTATGAATGTTTGCCCCGCTTATGGGACTCCAGAACACTCCTGCTGTGTTCTGAATGTATTCTCCTCATATACGTTTCCAGAACAATGTTACGAGTGTCTGAATGATTGTACCTCACATAGGATTCCAGAACACTCCTGCTCTGGTCTGAATGTTTGTTCCTCAGATAGGATTCCAGAACACAACTGCTCTGTTTTGAGTGTTTGTGCTTCACGTACGATTTCAGAACACTTCTATGTGGGTCTAAATGTTTGTCTGTCACATAGGATTCCAGAACACTGCTACAAGTGTTTGAATGTGTCTCCCGCACATAGGAATCCAGAACACTCCTGCTGTGTTCTGAATGTATTTTCCTCACATAGGATTCCAAAACAATGCTACGAGGGTCTGAATGTTTGTTCCAAACGTAGGATTCCAGACCAATCCTCTGTGGTCTGAATGATTGTCCCTCACAAAGGATTCCAGAGCACTGCTGCCGGATTCTGACTGTTTCTTCCTCACATAAGATTCCAGAACACTGCTACTGGGGTCTGAATGTTTGTCCCTCACATAGGATTCCAGAACACTGATACGAGTGTCTGAATTAATCACCCTCACATAGGATTCCAGAACACTCCTGCTGTGGTCTGAATGTTTTTTCCTCACTTAGGATTACAGAACACTGCTGTTGGGATTTAGTGTTTGTGTTAATCTTAGTGTTAGGATTGCAGAACACTGCTACATGGGTCTAAATGATTGTCCTTCATATAGGATACGAGAACACTACTGCTGTGGTCTCAATGGTTCACCCTCACATAGGATTCCAAAACATTCCTGCTGTGGTCTGACTGTTTGTCCCTCAAATAGGATTCCAGAACACTGCTACTGGGGTCTGAATGTTTGTCCTTCACATAGGATTCCATAACATTGCAACGAGGGTCCGAATTACTCTCCCTCACATAGGATTCCAGAACATTCCTTCTGTAGTCTGAGTGTTTGTCCCTCCAATAGGATTCCAGAACACTGATATGTGGGTCTAAATATTCGTAACTCACATAGGATTCCAGAACACTGCTACGAGGATCTGAATATATGTCCCACACATAGGACTCCAGAACACTCCTGCTGTATTCTGAATGTATTTTCCTCACATAGGATTCCAGAAAAATGCTAAGAGGGTCTGAATGTTTGTCCCTCACATAGGATTGCAGAACACCCAAGCTGTGGTCTGAATTACTGTCCCTCACATAGGATTCCAGAACACTGCTGCTAGGTTCTGAGTGTTTCTCCCTCACATGGGAATCCAGAACACTGCTACGAGGGTCTTAATGATTGTACCTCACATAGGATTCCAGAACACTCCTACAGTGGTTTGAATGTTTTCCCCTCAGATAGGATTCCAAACAGTGCTGCTGGGTTCTGAGTGTTGGTCCCTCACATAGGATTCCAGAACACTGATGCTGTGGTCTGAATGTTTGTTTCTCACATAGGTTTCCAGAGCACACCTGCTGTGGTCTGAATGTTTGTTCCTCACATAGGATTCCAGAGCACACCTGCTGTGGTCTGAATGTTTGTCCCTCATAGAACATTGCAGAACACTACTGCTGTGGTCTGAATGGTTGACCCTCACATAGGATTCCAGAACACTCCTGCTGTGGTCTGAATGGTTGACCCTCACATAGGATTCCAGAACACTCCTGCTGTGGTCTTGGTGTTTGTGCCTAATATGGGATTCCAGAACAATCCTTCTGTGATCTGAATGTTTCTGCCTCACATAGGATTCCATAACACCCCTGCTGTGGTCTGAATGTTTGTACCTCACTTGGAATTCCAGAACACTGCTGCTGGGTTCTCAGCATTTCTCCCTCACATAGGATTCCAGAAAACTGCTACTGGGGTCTAAATGTTTGTCCCATAGGATTCCAGAAAACTGCTACTGGGGCCTAAATGTTTGTCCCTCACGTAAGATTCCAGAACACTGCTACGATGCTCTGAATTATTTTCCCTCACATAGGATTCCAGAACACTCCTGGTATGTTCTGAATGTTTGGCCCTCTCTTAGGATTCCAGAACACTGCTATATGGTTCTTAGTTTTTGTCCCTCATGTACGATTCCACAACACTGTTACCTGGGTGTAAATGTTTGTCCCTTACATAGTATTCCAGAACACTGCTATGAGAGTCTGAATGTTTGTCCCCCACATAGAGCTCCAGAACACAACTGCTGTATTTTGAAAGTATTTTCCTCAGATAGGACTCCAGAACAATGCTACGAGGGTCTGAATGTTTGTCCCACACGTAGGATTCTCGAACACCCCAGCTGTAGTGTGAATGATTGTCCCTCACATAGGATTACAGAACACTGATGCTGGGTTCTGAGTGTTTCTCCCTCATGATTCCAGAACATTGCTACTGCGGTCTGAATGTCTTTCATTCACATAGGATTCCAGAACACTACTACAAGGGTCTGAATTATTCTCCCTCACATAGGATTCCAGAACTTTCCTGCTGTAGTCTGAATCCTTGTCTCTCACTTAGGATTCCAGAACACTGCTGTTGGGTTCTGAGTGTTTGTCCCTCACATACAATTCTAGATCACGGCTATGTGGGTTTCAGGGTTTGTCCCCCACATAGGTTTCCAGAACACTGCTATGAGGTTCTGAATGTTTGTCTCACACATAGGACTCCAGAACACTCCTGCTGTGTTCCAAATGCATTTTCCTCACATAGGATATCAGAACAATGCTACGAGGGTCTGAATGTCTGTCCCACACGTAGGATTCCAGAACATCCCATCGGTGGTCTGAATGATTGTCCCTCACATAGGATTCTGGAATATTGCTCCTGGGTTCTGAATGTTTCTCCCTCACATGGGATTCCAGAACACTGCTGTTAGGCTCTGAGTGTTTGTCCCTCAGTTATAATTCCAGAACACTGCTACGTGGGTCCAAATGCTTGTCGATCACATAGGATTGCAGAACACAGCTATTAGGGTCTGAATGTTTGTCCCACACAGAGGACTCCAGAAAACTCCTGCTGTGTTCTGAATGTATTTTCCTCACATTGGATACCAGAACAATGCTACGAGGGTGTGAATGTTTGTCCCACAGGTAGGATTGCAGAACACTACTGCTGTGGTCTGAATGATTGTCCCTCACGTAGGATTCCAGAACACTGCTGCTGTGTTCTGAATGTTTCTCCCTCACATAGGATTCCAGAACACTCCTGCTGTAGTCTGAATGTTTGCAACTCACTTAGGATTCCAGAATACTGCTGTTGAGTTCTGAGTGTTTGTCCCTCAGGTATGATTCCATAACACTGCTACGTGGGTCTAAATGTTTCTCGATCACATGGGATTCCAGAACACAGCTACTAGAGTCTGAATGTTTGTCCCACACAAAGGACTCCAGAACGCTGCTGCTGTGTTCTCAACATATTTTCCTGACATAGGATTCCACACGAATGCTACAAGGCTCTGAAAGTTTGTCCCAGACGTAGGATTCCAGAACACCCCAGCTGTTGTCTGAATGATTGTCCCTCACATAGGATTCCAGAGCACTCCTGCTGTGGACTGAATGCTTTTTCCTCACATAGGATTCCAGAACTCTCCTGCTGTTGTCTGAATGTTTGTCCCACATGTAGGATTCCAGAACTCTACTGCTGTGGTCTGAATAGTTGACTCTCTCACAGGATTCCAGAACACTTCTGCTGTGGTCTGGGTGTTCATGCCTCACAAGGGATTCCAGAACCATCCTGCTGTGGTGTGAGTGTTTGTCCCTCAAATAGGATTCAAGAACACTGCTACTGGGGTCGGAATGTTTGCCCTCACTTAGGATTCCAGAACACTGCTAGGAGGGTCTGAATAATTCTCCCTCACGTAGCATTCCAGAACACTCCTCTTGTGGTTTGAATGTTTGTCCCTCACTTAGGATTCCAGAACACAGTTGTTGGGTTCTCAGTGTTTGCCCTTAATGTATGATTCCAGAACACTGCTAAGTAGGTCTAAATGTTTGTACCTCACATAGGAATCCAGAACACTGCTAGGAGGGTTTGAATGTTTCTCCCTCACCTAGGACTCCAGAACATTCCTGCAGTGTTCTGAATGTATTTTCCTCATATAAGATTAAAGAACAATGCTATGAAGGTATGAATGTTTGTCCCACACGAAGGATTCCAGAACACCCAGCTGTGGTCAGAATGATTGTCCCTCACATAGGATTCCAGAACACTGCTGCTGGGTTCTGAGTGTCTCTCCCTCACATAGGATTCCAGAAAACTCCTGCTGTGGTCTGAATGTATCTCCCTCACATAGGATTCCAGAACACTGCTACTGGGTTCTGAGTGTTTGTCTCTCACATAGGATTCCAGAACAATGCTATGAGGGTGTGAATGAGTGAACCTCACATAGGATTCCAGAATTCTCCTGCTCTCTTCTGAATTTTTGACCCTCTGAAAGGATTCCAGAACACTGCTACAGGGTTCTGAGTGTTTGTTCCTCACATAGGATTCTGGAACACTACTAAGAGTTTCTGAATTATTCTCCCTCACATAGGATTCCAGAACACTCCTGCTGTGGTCTGAATGTTTGTCCCTCACTTAGGATTCCAGAACACTGCTGTTGTGTTCTGAGTGTATGTCCCTCACGTACGATTCCAGAACACTGCAACGTGGGTCTAAATGTTTGTCACTCACATAGGATTCCATGACACTGCTACGAGGATCTGAATGTTTGTCCAGCACATAGGACTCCAGATCTCTCGTTCTCTGTTCTGAATGTATTTTCCTCACATAGATTCCAGAACAATGCTACGAGGGTCTGAATGTTTGTCTCACACATAGGATTCCAAAGCACCACAGCTGTGGTCTGTAAGATTGTTCCTCACATAGGACTCCAGAACACTGCTGCTGGGTTCTGAGTGTTTCTCCCTTGCATACACTTCCAGAACAATCCTGCTGCAGTCTGAATGTTTGTCCCTCACATAGTATTCCATAACACTCCTGCTGGGCTCAGAATGTTTTTCCCTCACTTAGGATTCCAGAGAACTGCTGTTTGGTTCTGAGAGTTTATCCCCCACATACGATTATAGAACACGGCTACGTGGGTCTCAATGTTTGTCCCTCACATAGGATTCCAGAACACTGCTACTGGGGTCTGAATGATTCTCCCTCACATAGGATTTCAGAACAATGGTGCTGGGTTCTGAGTGTTTCTCCCTCACATAGGATTCCAGAACACTGCTACAAGGGTCCGAATGTTTGTCCCTCAGAGGGGCTTCCAGAACACTGCTGCTAGGGTCTGAATGTTGGAACCTGACTTAGGACTCCAGAACACTCCTGCTGTGGTCTCAATGTTTATCCCACACACAGGATTCCAGAACACTGCTACGAGGTTCTCAATGGTTGTCCCTAACACAGAATTCCAGAACACTGCTACGAGTGTCTGAATGATTGTCCCTCACATAGGAAACCAGAGCACTGCTGCCGGGGACTGAATGTTTGTCCTTCACATAGGAATCCAGAACACTGCTGCTGGGTTCTCCATGTGTGTCCATCACATAGGATTCCAGAACACTGCTGCTGGGTTCTGAGTGTTTCTCCCTCACATATAACTCCATAACACTGCGATGAGGGTCTGAACCTTTTTCCGTTACGTAGGATTCCAGAACACTCCCGCTGTTGTTTGAATGTTTATCCCTCGCCTAGAAATCCAGAACACTGCTGCTGCGGTCTGAATGTTTGTCCCTCACATAGGATTCCAGAACATGGTTATGATTGTCTGAATGTTTTTAACTCACATAGGATTCCAGAACACTGCTGATGGGGTCTCAATGTTTTTTCCACACATATGACCAAAGAACTCTGCTGCTACGTTCTGAATGTTTGTTGCTCACATAGCATTCCAGAACACTTCTGCTGTGGTCTGAATTTTTGTCCCTCACAAAAGATTCCCGATCACTCCCGCTGGGGTCTCAATGTTTGTCCATCACATAGGAATCAATAACACTGATGCTGGGGTCTGAAAGTTTGTCTTTCACATAGGATTCCAGAACCCTGCTACAAGGGTCCGAATGTTTGTCCCCCACATAGGATTCCAGAACACTGCTTCGATTGTCTGAATATTTGTCCCTCAGATAGGACTCCAGAACACTGCTGCAGGGGTCTAAATGTTTTTCTGTCACATAGGATTCCAGAACACTGTTACGAGGGTCTGAATGCTTGTTCCTCACAGGGAATTCCAGAACATTCCTCTTGTGGTCTGAACGTTTGTTCCTCACATTAGATTCTAGAACACTGCTATGAGCATATGAATGTTTGTCCCTCACACAGAATTCCAAAACACTGTTACGAGGGTCTGAATGATTGTCCCTCACATAGGATTCCAGAACACTGCTTCTGGGGTTTTAATGTTTGTCCCTCAAATAGGATTCCAGAACACTGCTGTTGGGGTCTATATGAATGTCAGTCCCATAGAATTCAAGAACGCTTTTGCTGGGTTCTGAGTGTTTCTCCCTCACATAGAACTCCAGAACACTGCGACGAGGGTCTGACTATTTCTCCGTTACATAAGATTCCAGAACACTCCCGCTGTTGTTTGAACTTTGGTTCCTCACATAGGATTCCACAACACTGAAGCTGGAGTCTTAATGTTTGTCCCTCACATAGGATTCCAGAACAGTGCTACGATTGTCTGAATGTTTGTCCCTCACATAGTGTTCCAGAACACTGCTGCTGGGGTCTGAATGTTTGTGCCTCACATATGACCAAAGAACACTGCTGCTAGGGTCTCATTGATTGTTGCTCACATAGCATTCCAGAACATTCCTGCTGTGGTCTCTATTTTTATCCCTCACAAAAGATTCCAGAATACTCCTCTTGGTATCTCAATGTTTGTCCCCCATATAGGACTCAAGAACACTTATGTTGGGGTCTGAAAGTTTGTCCCTCACATAGGATTCCAGAACACTGCTATGAAGGTCTGAATGTTTGTCCCTCACATAATATTGCAGAACACTTCTACGATTGTCTGAATGTTCATCCCTCACTTAGGATTCCAGAACACTACTACGAGGGTCTGAATGTTTGTCCGTTACATAATATTCCACAACACTACTGCTGTGTTCTGAGTGTTTGTACCTCAGATAGGATTCCAGAAGAGTCACTCTGTGGCCTGAATGTTTGTCCCTCACATAGGGTTCCAGAACACTGCTGCTGGGTTCTGAATGTTTGTCCCTCACATAGTATTCAAGAACACTGCTACGAGGGTCTGAGTGTTTGTCATCTGCTTACAATTCCAGAACACACCCGCTGTTGTTTCAATGTTTGTCCCTAACATAGGATTCCAGAACACTGCTACTATTGTCTCACTATTTCTCCCGCACGCAGGATTCCAGAACACTGCTGTGAGGATCTGAATGTTTGTCCTCCACATAGGATTCCAGAACACTTCTGCTGTGTTCTGAATGTTTGTCCCTCAGATAGGATTGCTGAGCACTCCTGCTGTGGTCTGAATATTTGTCCCACACATAGGATTGCAGAACACTCGTGCTGTGTTATGAATATTTTTCCCTCAGATAGGATTCCAGAACACTGCTACGAGCATCTGAATTATTCTCCCTCACATAGGATTCGAGAAAACTCCTGCTGTGGTCTAAATGTTTGTACTTCACTTCGGATTCCAGAACACGGCTGTTCAGTTCTGGGTGTTTGTCCCTCACATACGATTCCAGGACACTGCTACTTGTGTCTGTATTATTCTCCCTCACATAGGATTCCATAACACTCCTGCTGTGGACTGAATGTTTGTCCCTCACTTAGGACTCCAGAACACTTCTGTGGGTTCTGAGTGTTTGTCCCTGACATAAAATTCCACAGCACTGTTACGTGGATCTAAATGTTTGACCCTCACATAGGATTCCAGAACACTGCTACAAGGATCTGAATATTTTTTCCCACACGTAGGATTCCAGAACACTCCTGCTGTTGTCTGAATGTTGGTCCATCACGTAGGATTCCAGAACACTGCTAGGAGTGTTTAAATTATTCTCCCTCTCATAGGATTCCAGAACACACCGGCAGGAGTCTGAATGTTTGTTCCTCACTTAGGATTCCAGAACACTCCTGCTGTTGTATGAACGTTTGTCCCTCACTTAGGATTACAGAACTCTGCTGTTGGATTCTGAGAGTTTCTCCCTCGCGTACGATTGCAGAACACTGCTGCGTGGGTCCAAATGCTTGTCCCTCACATAGGATTCCAGAACACTGCTATGAGGGTCTGAATGTTTCCCAGGCACATAGGACTCCAGAACACTGCTACGAGGGTCTGAATGTTTGCACCACACGTAGGACTTCAGAACACTCCTGCTGTTTTCTGAATGTATTTTCCTAGCATAAAATTCTAGAACAATGCTACGAGGGTCTGAATGCTTGACCCACACGTAGGATTGCAGACCACCCCAGGGGTGGTCTGAGTGACTGTCCCTCACATAGGATTCCAGAACCTTGCTGCTGGGTTCTGAGTGCTTGTCCCTCACATAGGATTCCAGAACACTGCTACTGGGTTCTGAATGTTTGTCCCTCACATAGGAGTCCAGAACACTGATCCGAGGGTCTGAATTATTCTTCCTTACATAGGATTCTGGAACACTCGTGCTGTGGTATGAATGTTTGTCCCTCACTTAGGATTCCAGATCACTGCTGCTGAGTTCTGAGTGTTTCTCCCTCCCATAGGATTCCAGAACATTCCTGTTGTTGTCTGAATGTTTGTCCCTCAGTTAGGATGACAGAACACTGCTATTGGTTTCTGAGTGTCTGTCCCTCACGTATGAGGCCAGAACACTGCTACGTGAGTCTAAATGTTTGTTTCTCACGTAGGATTCCAGAACACTGCTGCTGTGGTCTGAGTGTTTGTTCCTCACATAGGATTCCAGAACACTCCAGTTGTGGTCTGAAAGTTTTTTCCTCCTATTGGGTTCCAGAACATGACTATTGTGGTCTGAATGTTTGACCATCACAAAGGATTCCAGAACCCTCCTTCTGTGGTCTGGGTGTTTGTGCCTCATATGGGATTCCAGAATAATCCTGCTGTCGTCTGAATGTTTCTCCCTCACATAGGATTCCAAAACATTCTTGTTGTGGTCTGAGTGTTTATCCCTCACGTGGGATTCCAGAACACTGCTACTGCGGTCTGAATGTTTGTCCCTAACATAGGATTCCAGAACACTTCTACGAGGGTCTGAATTATTCTCCTTCTCATAGGATTTCAGAACACTCCTGTTGTGGTCTGAATGTTTGTCCCTCACTTAGGATTCCAGAACACTGCTGTTGGATTCTGAGTGTTTCTCCCTCAAGTACGATTCCAGAATACTGCTACATGTGTCTAAATGTTTGTCCCTCACAAACTATTCCAGAACACTGTTGCGAGGGTCTCAATGTTTGTTCTGCCCGTAGGACTCCATAACACTCCTGCTGTGTTCTTAATGTATTTTCCTCACATAGGATTGCAGAACAATGCTACAAGGGTCTGAATGTTTGTCCCACACGTAGGATTCCAGAACGTCAGAGCTGTGGTCTGCAGGACTGTCCCTCAAATAGGATTCCAGAACACTGCTGCTGGGTTCTGTGTGTTGATCCCTCACATAGGATTCCAGAACAATCCTGTTGTGGTCTGGGTGTTTGTGCCTCACATGGGTTTCCAGAACAATCCTGCTGTGGTCTGAATGTTACTCACTCTTATAGGATTCCAAAGCATTCCTGCTGTGGTCTGTGTGTTTGTCCCTCAAATAGGAATACAGAACACTGCTACTGGGGTCTGAATGTTTGTCCCTCACATAGGATTCCAGCACACTGTTACGAGGGTCTGAATTACTGCCCCTCACATAGGATTCCAGAACACACCTGCTTTCTTCTGAAAGTTTGTCCTTCACTTAGGATTCCAGGACACTGCTGTTGGTTTCTAAGTGATTGTCACTCACGTATGATTCCAGAACACTGCTACTGCAGTCTGAATATTTGTCCCGCACATAGTATTCGAGGACACTGCTACTAGAGGGTCTAAATGTTTGTCCCTCTCATAGGATTCCAGAACACTTCTAAGAGGGTCTAAATGTTTGTCCCTCTCATAGGATTCCAGAACACTTCTAAGAGGGTCTAAATGTTTGTCCCTCTCATAGGATTCCAGAACACTTCTAAGAGGGTCTAAATGTTTGTCCCTCTCATAGGATTCCAGAACACTTCTAAGAGGGTCTAAATGTTTGTCCCTCTCATAGGATTCCAGAACACTTCTAAGAGGGTCTAAATGTTTGTCCCTCTCATAGGATTCCAGAACACTTCTAAGAGGGTCTGAATGTTTGTTCCCCCAATAGGACTCCAGAACACTCCTGCTGTGTTCAGAATGTATTTTCCTCACGTAGGATTCCAGTACAATGCTACGAGGGTCTGAATGTTTGTCCCACACGTAGGATTCCAGAACACCCCAGCTGTGTTCTGAATGACTGTCCCTCACATAGGATTCCAGAACATTGCTGCTGCGTTCTGAGTGTTTCCCCGTCAAGTAGGATTCCAGAACACTCTTGCTGTGTTGTGAATATTTGTCCCTCACTTAGGATTCCAGATCACTGCTGTTGGGTTCTGAGTGTTTGTCCTTCACGTACGATTCCAGAACATAACTACGTGGGTCTAAATGTTTGTCCCTCACATAGGCTATCTGAACACTGCTATGAGGGTCTGAATGTTAGTCCCGCACATAGGACTCCAGAACACTCCTGCTGTGTTCTGAATGTATTTTCCTCACATAGGATTCCACAACAATGCTACGAGGGTCTGAATGTTTGTCCCACACTTAGTATTCCAGAACACCCCAGCAGTGGTCTGATTGACTGTCTCTCACAAAGGATTACAGAACACTGCTGCTGGTTTCTGAGTGTTTCTCCCACATATAGGATTCCGGAACACTGCTACGGGGATCTGAAATTTTCCCCCTCACATAGGATTCCAGAACACTGCTACAGGGATCTGAATGTTTGTCTCTCACATAGGATTCCAGAACCCTGCAACGAGGGTCTGAATTACTCTCACTCTCAAAGGATTCCAGAACACTGTTTTTGGGTTCTCAGTGTATCTCCTCACAGAGAATTCCAGAACACTGCTACAAGGGTCTGAATGATTGTACCTCACATAGGATTCCAGAACACTCCTGCTCTGCTCTGAATGTTTGTCCCTCAGATGGGATTCCAGAACACTGCTGCTGGGTTCTGAGTGTCTGTCCCTCACATAGGATTCCAGAACACTGCTGCTGCGGTCTGAATGTTTGTTTCTCACATAGCACTCCAGAACACTCCTGCTGTGGTCTGAATTTTTCTCCCTCATATAGGATTCCAGAACACAACTGCTCAGGTGTGAATGGTTAACCCTCACATAGGATTCCAGAGTACTGCTGTTGTGGTCTGGGTGTTTGTGCCTCACATGGATTTCCAGAACAATCCTTCTGTGGTCTGAATGTTTCTCCCCCACATAGGATACCAAAGCATTCCTGCTCTGGTCTCAGTGTTTGTCCCTCAAATAGGATTCCATAAAATTTCCACTGGGGTCTGAATGTTTGTCCCTCACTTAGGGTTCCAGAACAATACTAAGAGGGTCTGAATTATTCTCCCTCACATATGATTGCAGAACACTCCTGCTGTGGTCGGAATGTTTGTCCCTCAGTTACGATTCCAGAATACTGTTGTTGAGTTCTGAGTTTTTGTCCGTCACATACGATTCCAGAACACTGCTATGTGGGTCTAAATATTGGTCACTCACATAGGGTTGCAGAACACTGCTACGAGGGTATGAATGTTTCTCCCGCTCATAGGACTCCAGAACAATCCTGATGTGTTCTGAATGTATTTTCTTCACATAGGATTCCAAAACAGTGCTATGAGGGTCTGAATGTTTGTCTCACACGTAGGATTCCAGAACACCCGAGCTGTGGTCTGAATGATTATCCTTCCCATAGGATTCCAGAACACTGCTGCTGGGTTCTGAGTGTTTCTCCCTCACATAGTATTCCATAACACTGCTACTGGGGTCTCAATGTTTATCTCTCACATAGGATTTCAGAACACTGCTACAAGTGTCTGAATGTATGTCAAGCTCTTATGACTCCAGAATACTCCTGCAGTGTCCTGAATATTTTTTCCATACGTAGGATTCCAGAAGAATACTACGAGGGTATGAATGTTTGTCCCACAAGTAGGATTGCAGAACACCCCAGCTGTGATCTGAATGATTGTCCCTCACATAGGATTCCAGAACACAGCTACTGGGTTCTGAGGTTTTCTCCCTCACATAGGATTCCAGAACACTCCGGCTCTGGTCTGAATGTTTGTCCCCAGATAAGATTCCAGAACACTGCTGCTGGGTTCTGAGGGTTTGTCTCTCACATGGGACTGCAGAACCCTTCTGCTGTGGTCTGAATGTTTGTTCCTCACATAGGATTCCAGAACATTCCTGCTGTTTTCTGAATATTTGTCCCTCACTTAGGACTCCAGAACACTGCTGTTGAGTTCTGAGTGTTTGTCCCTCATGTATGATTCCAGAACACTGCTGTGTGGGTCTAAATGTTTGTCCCTCACATACGATTTCAGAACACTGCTACGAGGGTCTGAATGTTTCTCCCACACAGAGGACTCCAAAACACTACTGTAGTGTTCTGAATGTATTTTCCTCACATAGGATTCAAGGACAATGCTAACAGGGTCTGAATGTTTGTTCCACACGTAGGACTCCAGAACACCCCTGCTGTGGTCTCAATGATTGTCCCTCACATAGGTTTCTGGAACACTGCTGCTGGTTCTGAGTGTTTCTCCCTCACGTGGGATTCCAGAACACTGCTACAAGGGTTTGAATTATTCTCCTTCACATAGGATTCCAGAACAATACTGCTGATGTCTGAACGTTTGTCCCTCACTTAGGATTCCAGAACACTGCTGTTGGCTTCTGAGTGTCCCTCACTTACGATTCCAGAACACTGCTACATGGGTCTAAAAGTTTGTCCCTTACATAGTATTCCAGAACACTGCTACAAGGGCATGAATGTTTGTCCCGCACATTGGACTCCAGAGCACCCCTGCTGTGTTCTGAATGTATTTTCCTCACACAGGATTGCAGAACAATGCTACGAGGGTCCAAATATTTGTCCCACACATAGGATTCCAGAACACCTTAGCTGTGGTCTGAATGATTGTCCCTCACATAGGATTCCAGAACACTGCTTCTGGGTTCTGAGTGTTTCTCCCTCAAATAGGATTCCAGAACACTGCTACGAATGTCTGAATGATTGTACCTCACATAGGATTCCAGAACACTCCTGCTGTGTTGTGAATGTTTATCTCTCAGATAGGATTCCAGAACACTACTGCTTGGTTCTGAGTGTTTGTCACTCACATAAGATTCCAGAACACTGCTCCTGTCTTCTGAATGTCTGTTCATCACACAGGATTTCAGAACACTCCTGCTGTGGTCTCAATGGTTGAACCTCATATAGGATTCCAGTACAATCCTGCTTTGGTCTGGGTGTTTGTACCTCACATGGGATTCTAGAACAAACCTGCTGTTGTCTGAATGTTTCTCCCTCACATAGGTTTCCAAAACATTCCTGCTGTGGTCTGAGTGTTTCTCCCTAAAATAGGATTCCGGAACACTGCTACTGGGGTGTGAATGATTGTCCCTCACATAGGATTCCAGAACACTGCTAAGAGCGTCTGAATTATTCTCCCGAACTTAAGATTCTAGAACACTCCTGCTGTGGTCTGAATGTTTGTCCCTATCTTATTATTCCAGAACACTGTTTTTGGGTTCTGAGTGTTTGTCCCACACACACGATTCCAGAACACTGCTACGTGGCTCTAAATGTTTGTCCGTCACATAGAATTCAAGAACACTACTACGAGGGTCTGAATGTACCGCACATAGGACTCCAGAACAATCCTGCTGTTTTCTGAACGTATTTTCCTCACATAGGATTCCACAACAATGCTACGAGGGTCTGAATGTTTGTCCCACATGTAGGATTCCAGAACACCCCTGCTGAGGTCTCAATGATTGTCCCTCACATACAGTGCCAGAACACTGCTACTGGGTTCTGAGTGTTTCTCCCTCACACAGGATTCCAGAACACTACTACGAGAGTCTGAATGATTGTACCTCACACAGGATTCCAGAACCCTCCTGCTGTGCTCTGAATGTTTGCCCCTCTGATAGGATTCCAGACACTGCTGCTAGATTCTGAGTGTTTGTCCCTCACATAGTATTCCAGAACATTGCTGCTGTTGTCTGAATGTTCGTTAATCACATAGGATTCCAGAACACTCCTGCTGTGATCTGAATGTTTGTGCTTCATATAGAATTCCAGAACACTGCTGCGGGGTGCTGAGTGTTTGTCCCTCACATAGGATTCCAGAACACTGCTACTGGGGTCTGGATGTTTGTCCCTCACATAGGATTCCAGAATACTGCTATGAGGGTCTTAATTATTGTCCCTCAGGTAGGATTCCAGAACATTCCTGCTGTGGTCAGAATGTTTGTCCCTTACTTAGGATTCCAGAACACTGCTGTTGGGTCCTGAGAGTTTGTCCCTCATGTAGGATTCCAGAACAATGCTACTGGGGTCTGAATGTTTGTCCCGCACATAGGATTCCAGAACACTGCTGCAAGGGTCTGAATTATTCTCCCTAACATAGGATTCCAGAACGCTGTTCGAGAATCTGAATGATTGTACCTCACAGAGGATTCCAGAACTCTCCAGCTCTGTTTTGAATGTTGGTTCCTCAGATAGGATTCCAGAACACTGCTGCTGTGTTCTTAGTTGTTGTCCCTCACATAGGATTCTAGAACACTGCTGCTGTGGTCTGAATGTTTGTTCCTCAGGTAAGATTGCAGAACACTCCCACTCTGTTCTGAATGTGTGTACCTCATATAGGATTCCCAAACACTACTGTTGTTTTCTGAATGGTTGACCCTCACGTAGCATTCCAGAACACCCCTGCTGTGGTCTAGGTGTTTGCGCCTCACATGGGATTCCAGAACAATCCTGCTGTGGTCTGAATATTTCTCCCTCACATATGATTCCAAAACATTCCTTCTCTAGTGTGAATGTTTGTCCCTCAAAAAGTATTCCAGAACACTGCCACTCGGGTGTGAATATTTGTTCCTCACATAGGATTCCAGTACACTGCTATGAGGGTCTTAATTATTCTCCCTCACATAGGATTCCAGAACACTCCTACTGTGGTCTCAATGTTTGTCCTTCACTTAGGATTCCAGAACACTGCTGTTGAGTTCTGTCTGTTTGTCCCTCACGTATGACTCCAGAACACTGAGACGTGGGTCTAAATTTTTATCCCTCACATAGGATTTCAGAACACTGCTACAAGGGTCTGAATGTTTGTCCTGCACGTAGGACTCCAGAACACTCCTGCTGTGTTCTGAATGTATTTTCCTCACATAGGATTCCAGTACAATGCTACAAGGGTCTGAAAGTTTGTCCCACACGTAGGATTCCAGAACACCCCAGCTGTGATCTGAATAATTGTCCCTCACATAAGACTCCGTAACACTGCTGCTGGGTTCTGAGCATCTCCCCCTCACATAGGGTTTCAGAACACTCGCTGTGATCTGAATGTTTATCTCCCACTTAGGATTCCAGATCACTGCTGTTGCGTTCTGAGTGTTTCTCCCTCACGTATGATTCCAGAACACTTCTACGTGGGACTAAATGTTTTTCCTTCACGTAGGATTCCAGAAGACTGCTACGAGGGTCTAAATGTTTGTCACGCACATAGGACTCCAGAACACTCCTGCTGTGCTTTGAATGTATTTTCCTTACATAGGATTCCAGAACAATGCTACTAGGGTCTGAATGTTTGTCCCATACTTAATATTCCAGAACACCCTGCTGTGGTCTGAATGATTGTCCCTCACATAGGATTCCGGAACTCTGCTGCTGGGTTCTGAGTGTTTCTACCTCGCATAGGATTCCACAACACTGCTACTGGGGTCTGAATGCTTGTCTCTCACATAGGATTCCAGAACACTGCTACGAGGGTCTGAATTACTCTCCCTCACATAAGATTCCAGAACACTGCTGCTAGTTTCTGAGTGTTTCTCCCTCACTTAAAATTCCAGAACACTGCTACGATGGTCTGAATGATTGTACCTCACATAGGATTCCAGAAAACTCCTGCCCTGCTGTGAATGTTTTTCCCTCAGATAGGATTCCAGAAGACTGCTGTGGGCTTCTGAGTGTTTGTCCCTCACATAGGGTTCCAGAACACTGCTGCTGTGGTCTGAATGTTTGTTCCTCACATAGGATTCCAGATCACTCTTGCTGTGGTCTTAAGGTTTGTCCCTCATACAGGAATCCAGAACACTACTGCTGTGGTCGGAATGGTTGTCCCTAATATAGGATTCCCGAACACTCCTGCTGTGGTCTAGGTGTTTGCACCTCACATGGGATTCCAGAACAATCCTGCTGTGGTCTGAATGTTTCTTACATAGCATTAAAACCTTCCTGCTGTTTTCTGAGTGTTTCTCCTTCAAATAGGATTCCAGAACACTGGTACTGGTGTCTGAATGTTTGTCCCTCACATAGGATTCCAGAACTCTGCTATGAGGTTCTGAATTTTTCTCCCTCACCTAGGATTCCAGAACACAGTTGTTGGGTTTTGAGTATTTGTCCCTCACGTACAATTCCATAACACTGCAGCATGTGTCTAAATGCTTGTCCCTAACATAGGATTCCAGAACACTGCTAACATGGTCTGAATGTTTGTCCCACACATAGGACTCCATATCACTCCTGCTGTGTTCTGAATGCATTGTCCTCACATAGGATTCCAGAACAATGCTACGAGGGTCTGAATGCTTGTCTTGCATGTAGAATTGCAGGAAACCCCAGCTGTGGTCTGAATGATTATCCATCACATAGGATTCCAGAACATTGCTGCTGGGTTCTGAGTGTTTCTCCCTCAGATAGGATTCCACAATCCTCCTGCTGTGGTCTGAATGTTTGTCCCTCACTGAGGATTCCAGAACACTGCTGTTGGGTTCTAAGAGTTTGTCCCTCTTGTATGAATCCAGAAAAATGCTACGTGGGTCTACATGTTTGTCCTTCCCTATATGAGGAACAAACATTCAGACCACAGCAGCACTGTTCTGGAATCCTATTTGAGGGACAATCATTCAGATCACATCTGGCATGTTCTGGAATCCTGCGTGTGGGACAAACATTCAGACCCTCTTAGCATTGTTCTGGAATCCCATGTGAGGAAAATACATTCAGAAAACAGCAGGAGTTTTCTGGAATCCTACGTGAGGGAAAAACACTCAGAATGCAACAACAGTGTTCTGGAATCCTAAGTGATGGACAAACATTCAGACCACAGCAGGAGTTTTCTAGAATCCTATGTGAGGAAGAATAATTCAGACCATCGTAGCAGTGTTCTCGAATCCTTTGTGAGGGACAAACATTCAGACCCCAGTAGCAATGTTCTGTAATCCTATGTGAGGGGGAAATACTCAGAGCCCTGCAGCAGTGTTCCAGAATCCTATGTGAGGGACAATCATTCAGACCACAGGGGGATTGTTCTGGAATCCCATGTGAGGCACAAACACCCAGAACCCAGCAAGAGTGTTCTGGAATCCTATGTGAGGGTCAACCATCAGACCACAGCGGTAATGTTCTATAATCCTATATGAGGGAGAAACATTCAGACCACAGCAGGAGTGTTCTGGAATACTATGTGAGGAACAAACATTCGGGCCACAGCAGGAGTGATCTGGAATCTTATGTGAGGGACAAACACTCAGAACCCAGTAGCAGTGTTCTGGAATGCTATCTGAGGGACAAACATTCAGATGAGAGCAAGAGTTCTCTGGAATTCCATGTGAGGTACAATCATTCAGAGCCTTGTAGCAGTGTTCTCGAATCGTATGTGAGGGAGAAACTCTCAGAACCCTCCAGCAGTATACTGGAATCCCATGTGAAGGACAATCATTCATCCCCTCATAGCCGTGTTCTGGAATCCTATGTGAGGAAAAACCTTTAGATCCACATAGCAGTGTTCTGGAATCGTACGTGAGGGACAAAAACTCAGAACCCAACAGCAGTGTTCTAGAATCCTAAGTGAGGGACAAACATTCAAACCAGAACAGGAATGTTCTGGAATCCTATGTGAGGGAGAAACACTCAGAACCCAGAATCAGTGTTCTGTAATCCTATTTGAGTGGCAATCATTCAGACCACAGCTGTGGTGTTCTGGAATCCTAAGTGTGGGAAAAGCATTCAGACACTAGTAGCACAATTCTGGAATCTTATGTGAGGAAAATACATTCAGAACACAGCAGGGGCGTTCTGGATTCCTATGTGCAGGACAGAAATTCAGACACTCATAGCACTGTTCTGGAATCGTACGTGAGGGACAAACACTCAAAAAAATAAAACAGCAGTGTTCTGTAATCCTAAGTGAGGGACAAACAATCAGACCACAGAAGGAGTTTTCTGGAATCCAATGTGAGGGAGAGTAATTCAGACCCTCGTAGCAGTGTTCTGGAACCCTATGTGAAAGACAAACATTCAGACTCCAGTAGAAGTGTTCTGGAATTTTATGTGGGGAACAATCTTTCAGACCACAGCTGGGTTGTTCTGGAATCCTACGTGTAGGACAAATATTCAGAGCCTCGAAGCATTGTTGTGGAATCCTATGTGAGGAAAATACATTCAGGACTCAGCAGGAGTGTTCTGGAGTCCTATGTGCCGGACAAAAATTCAGACCCTCGTAGCAGTGTTCTGGAATCCTATGTGATGGAAAAATATTTAGACCCACATAGCAGTGTTCTGGAATCCTATGTGATTGATAAACACTCAGAAACCAGTAACAGTGCTCTGGAATCCTACTTGACGGACAAACACTGAGACCACAGCAGAAAAGTTTTGGAATCCTATGTGAGGGAGAAACATTCAGACTACAGCAAGATTCTTCTGGAATCCCATGTAAGGCAAAAACACCCAGACCAAAGCAGGGATGTTCTGGAATTCTATGTGAGGGTCAACCATTCAGACAACTGCAGCAGCGTTCTGGAATCCAATATGAGGGACAAACATTCAGTCCAGAGCAGGATTTTTCTGGAGTCCTGTGTGAGGAACAAACCTTCAGACACAGCAGCAGTATTCTAGAATCCTATGTCAGGGAAAAACACTCAGAACACAGCAGCAGTGTTCTAGAATCCTAACTGAGGGACAAAGATTCAAACCAGAGCAGGAGTGTTCTGGCATCCTTTGTGAGGTGCAATCATTCAGATCCATGTAGCAGTGTTGTGGTATCCTATGTGAGGGAGAAACACACAAAAACCAGCAGCAATGTTCTGGAATCCTATGTGAGGGACAATCATTCATACCACAGCTTTGCTCTTCTGGAATCCTACTTGCGGGACAAACATTCAGACCCACGTAGCTGTGTTCTGGAATCCTATGTGAAGGACAAACATTTAGACCCAGGTAACATTGTTCTGGAAGCATATGTGAGGGACAAACACTCAGAACACAACAGCAGTGTTCTGGAATCCTAAGTGAGGGACAAACATTCAGACCACAGCAGGAGTTTTCTGGAATCCTATGTGAGGGAGAATAATTGAGACACTCGTAGCACTATTCTGGAACACTATGTGAGGGACAAACATACAGATCCCGGTAGCAGTGTTCTGGAATCTTATGTGAGGGAGAAACACTCAGAACCCAGCAGCAGTGTTCTGGAATCCTATGTGAGGGACAATCATTCAGACCACAGCTGGAGTGTTCTGGAATCCTGCTTGTGGGACAAACATTCAAACCCTCGTAGCATTGTTCTGGAATCCCATGTGAGGAAAATACATTCAGAGCACTTCAGGAGTGTTCTGGAATCCTATGAGTGGGACAAACTTTCAGACCCTCGTAACAGTGTTCTGGGATGCTATGTGAGGGCCAAACATTTAGACCCACGTAGCAGTGTTCTGTAATCTTACCTGAGGGACGAACACTCAGAACCCAACAGCAGAGTTCTGGAAACTTAAGTGACGGACAAACATTCAGACCACAGCAGGGGTGTTCTGGAATCCTCTGTGAGGTAGAATAATTGAGACTCTCGTGACAGTGTTCTTGTATCCAATGTGAGGGATAAAAACTCAGAACTCAGTACCATTATTCTGGAATTCCATTTGAGGGAACAACACTCAGACCAGAGCAGGAATGTTTGGAATCCTATATGAGGGAGAAACATTCAGACCACAGTAGGATTGTTCTTGAATCCTTTGTGATGCACATACAGCCAAACCACAGCAGGAGTGTTCTGGAATCCTATGTGAGGTCAACCATTCAGACCACAGCAGTAGTGATCTGGAGTCCTATATGAGGGACAAACATTCAGACCACAGCAGGAATGTTCTCGAATCCTATGTGAGGAAGAAACATTCAGCCCACAGCAGCAGTGTTCTGGAATCCTATTTGAATGAAAAACATTCAGACCAGAGCAGGAGTGGTCTGGAATCCTATGTGAGGTACAATCATTCAGACACTCGTAGCAGTGTTCTGGAGACCTATGGGAGAGAGAAACATTCAGAACCAGCAGAACTTTTCTGGAGTCTTTTGTGAGGGACAATCATTCAGACCTAAAGCTAGGGTGTTCTGACATCCTATGTGTGGGACAAACATTCAGACCCTCGTAGCATTGTTCTGGAATCCTATGACAGGAAAATACATTCGGAACACAGCAGGAGTGTTCTGGAGTCCTATGTAAGGGACAAACATTCAGACTTTCGTAGAAGTGCTCTGGAATCCTATGTGAAGGGGCAAACATTTAGACCAATGTTGCAGTCTTCTGGAATCGTACGTAAGGGACAAACACTGAGAAACCAACAGCAGTGTTCTGGAATCTGAATTGAGGGACAAACATTCAGACCACAGTAGGAGTGTTCTGGAATCCTTTGTGAGGGAGAATAATTCAGACCCTCGTAGCAGTGTTGTGGAATCCTATGTGAGGAACAAACTTTCAGACCCCAGTAGCAGTGTTCTGGAATCCAATTTGAAGGAAAAACCATCAGACCATGGCAGGAATGTTTTGGAATCCTATGTGAAGGGGAAACATTCAGACCACAGTAGGATGGTTCTGGAATCCCATGTGAGGCACAAACACCCAGACCACAGCAGGAGTGTTCTGGAGTCTTATGTGATGGTCAACCATTCACATGACAGCTGGGGTGTTCTGGAACCCTATTGTGGGACAAACATTCCTACCCTCGTAGGATTGTACTGCAATGCTATGTGTGGAAAATTCATTCAGAATACAGAAGGAGTTTTCCGCAGTCCAATGTGTGGGACAAACATTCAGATCCCCGTAGCATTGTTCTGGAATCCTATGTGAAGGAAAAACATTTAGACACACGTAGCGGTGTTCTGGAATCATACGTGAGGGACAAACACTCAGAACCCAACAGCAGGGTTCTGGAATCCTAAGTGAGAGAGAAATATTCAGACCACATCAGGAGTGTTTGGAATCTTATGTGAGGGAGAATAATTCAGACCCTCATAGCAGTATTCTGTAATCCTATATGAGGGACAAACATTCAGACCCCAGTAGCAGTGTCTGGAATCCTGTTTGAGGGACAAACACTCAGACCACTGCAGGAATGTTTTTGGAATCCTATGTGAGGGAGAAACATTCAGACGACAGCAAGATTGTTCTGGATTCCTATGTGAGGGTCAACCATTCAGACCACAGCTGTAGTGTTCTGAAATCCTATATGTGGGACAAACATTCAGACCACAGCAGGATTGTTCTGGAATCCTATGTGAGGGATAAACATTCAGACTGCAGCAGCATTGTTCTGGAATCCTATATGAGGGACAAACACTCAGAACCCAAAAGCAGTGTTCTGGAATCGTATCTCAGGGACAACATTCAGACCACAGCAGGAGTGTTCTGCAATCCTATGTGAGGTACAATAATTGAGAACCTCATAGCCATGTTCTGGAATCCCATATGAGGACAAACCTTCAGAACCATTTAGCAGTTTTCTGGAATCGTAGGTGTGAGACAAACACTCAAAAACCAACTGCAGTGTTCTGGAATCCTAACTGAGGGTCAAACATTCAGACCAGAATAGGAGATTTCTGGAATCATATATGAGGGAGAAACACTCAGAACCCAGCAGCGGAGTTCTGGAATCCCATGTGAGGGACAATCATTGAGACCACAGCTGTGGTGTTCTGGTATCCTAAGTGTGGGACAAACTTTCAGACCCTCGTAGCCTTGCTCTGGAATCCTATGTGAGGAAAATACATTCAGAACACAGCAGAAGAGTTCTGGAGTCCCTTGTGGGGGACAAAAATTCAGGCCCTCGTAGCAGTGCTCTGGAATTCTAAGTGAGGACAAACATTTAGACCCACATAGCAGTGTTATTGAATTGTACGTGAGGGACAAACACTCAAAAAAAAAAAGGAGTGTTCTGTAATCCTAAGTTGGTGAAAAACAATCAGACCACAGCAGGAGTGTTCTGGAATCCAATGTGAGGGTGAATAATTCAGACCCTCTTAGCAGTGTTCTGGAATCCTATGAGAGGGACAAATCAGACCCCAGTAGAAGTGTTGTGGAATCCTATGTGAGGGAAAAACATTCAGACCACAGCTCGGGTTTTCTGGAATCCTACTTCAGGGGCAAACATTCAGACCATCGTACCATTGTTGTGGAGTCCTAGGTGAGGAAAATGCATTCAGGAAACAGCATGAGTGTTCTGGAGTCCTATGTGCGGGACAAAAATTCAGCCCCTTGTAGCACTGTTCTGGAATCCTACGTGAGGGGGAAACATTTAGACCCAAGTGGCAGTGTTCTGGGATGCTATACGGTGGAGAAACACTTAGAACACAGTAGCAGTGTTCCAGAATACTATTTGAGGGACAAACATTCAGACCACAGCAGGAAAGTTTTGGAATCCTATGTGGGGGAGAAACATTCAGACCACAGCAGGATTGTTCTGGAATTCCATGTGAGGCAAAAACACCCAGAACGCAGGAGGGGTGTTCTGGAATCCTATGTGAGGGTCAACCATTCAGAACACAGCAGTAGTGTCCTGGAATACTATATGAGAGACAAACATTCAGTTCACAGCAGGAGTGTTCTGGAATCCTATGTGAGGAACAAAGATTCTGACCACAGCAGCAGTGTTCTGGAATCCCATCTGAGGGATAAACATTTAGATCAGAGCAGGAGTGTTCTGGAATCTTATGTGAGGAACAATCATTCAGATCCTCGTAGCAGTGCTGTGGTATCCTATGTGAGAGAGAAAAACACAGAAATCAGCAGCAGTCTTCTGGAATCCTATGTAAGGGAGAATCATTCAGGTCACAGCTTTGGTTTTCTGGAATCCTACGTGTGAGACAAACATTTAGACCCTTGTAGCATTGTTCTGGAATCCGATGTGAGTAAATACATTCAGAACACAGCAGGAGTGTTCTGGAGTCCAATGTGCGGGACAAACATTCAGACCCACGTATAAGTGCTGCGGAATCCTCTGTAAGGGACAAACATTTAGACCCACGTAGCAGTGTTCTTGAAGCATAAGTGAGGGACAAACACTCAGAACCCAACAGCAGTGTTCTGGAATCCTAAGTGAGGGACAAACATTCAGACCACAGCGGGAGTGTTCTGGAATCCTAAGTGAGGCAGAATAATTGAGACCCTCGTAGCAGTATTCTGGAACACTATGTAGGGATAAATATTCAGACCCCAATAGCAGTGTTCTGGAATCCTATATGAGGAAGAAACACTCAGAACCCAACAGCAGTGTTCTGGAATCCTATGTGAGAGACAACCATTCAGACCACAGCTGAGGTGTTCTGGAATCCCATGTGAGGGATAAACATTAAGACCCTCGTAGCATTGTTCTGGAATCTCGTGAGGAAAATACATTCAGAACACTGCAGGAGTGTTCTGGAATCCTATCAGCAGGACAAACATTCAGACCCTCGTAGCAGTGTTCTGGAATCCTATGTGAGGGCCAAACATTTAGACCCATATACCAGTGTTCTGCAATCGTACCTGAGGGACAAACACTCAGAATCCAACAGCAGAGTTCTGGAAACCTAAGTGAGGGACAAACATTCAGACCACAGCAGGGGTGTTCTGGAATCCTCTGCGAGGTAGAATAATTGAGACCCTCGTGGCAGTGTTCTTGAATCCAATGTGAGGGACAAAACTCAGAACTCAGTACCATTATTCTGGAATTCCATTTGAGGGACCAACGCTCAGACCAGAGCAGGAATGTTTGGAATCCTATGTGAAGGAGAAACATTCAGACAACAGCAGGATTGTTTTCGAATCCCATGTGAGGCAAAAACACCCAAAACACAGGAGGGGTGTTCTGGAATGCTATGTGAGGGTCAACCATTCAGAACACAGCAGTAGTGTCCTGGAATACTATATGAGAGACAAACATTCAGCTCACAGTAGGAGTGTTCTGGAATCCTATGTGAGGAACAAAGATTCTGACCACAGCAGCAGTGTTCTGGAATCCTATTTAAGGAACAAACACTCAGACCACAGCAGGAATGTTTTGCAATCCTATGTGAGAGAGAAATATTCAGACCACAGCAAGATTTTTCTGGAATCCGATGTAAGACACAAACACCGTGACAAAAGCAGGAGTGTTCTGGAATCCAATTTGAGGGTCAACCATACAGACCACAGCAGTAGTGTTCTGGAATCCTATGTGAGGGACAAACATTCAGACCACAGCAGCAGGGTTCTGGAATCCTATGTGAGGGACTAACTCTCAGAACCCAGCAGCAGTGTTCTCGAATCCTACCTGAGGGACAAATATTCAGACAACAGCAGGAGTGTTCTGGAATCCTATGTGATGTACAATCATTCAGATCCTCATAGCATTGTTCTGGAATCCTATGTGAGGTAGAAACACTGAGAACCCAATAGCAGTGTTCTGGAATCCTATGTGATGGACAATCATTAGGACCACAGCTAGGGTGTTCTGGAATCCTGCCTGTGGTACAAACATTCAGAACCTCGTAGCATTTTTCTAGAAGCCTAATTGAGGACAATACATTGAGAATACTGCAAGAGTGTTCTGGAGTCCTATGTGCGGGAAAACATTCAGACCCTCATAGCAGTGTACAGGAATCCTATGTGAAGGACAATCATTCAGACCACAGCTGGGGTGTTCTGGAATCCAACGTGTGGGAATAAAATTCAGAACCTTGTAGCATTTTTCTGGAATCCTATGTGAGGAAAATACTTCCGGAGCCCACCGGAGTGTTCTGGTGTCCTTTGTGCGGGACAAACAGTCAGACCCTTGTAGCAGTGTTCTGGAATCCTATGTGGGGGACAAATAATTAGACCCACGTAGCAGTGTTCTGGAATCCTATGTGAGGAGCAAACATTTGTACCACAGCAGGGGTGTTCTGGAATCCTATGTGAGGGACAAACATTCAGATGACAGCAGGAGTGTTCTGGAATCCTATGTGAGGAACAACATTTAGACCACAGTAGGAGTGTTCTGGAATCCTATGTGAGGAACAACATTTAGACCACAGTAGGAGTGTTCTAGAATCCTATGTGTGGGACAAACATTCAGAACCTCGTAGCAGTGTTCTGTAATCCTAGGTGAGGAATAAACATTTAGACCCATGTAGCAGTGTTCTGGAATCGTATGTGAGGGACAAACACTCAGAACCGCACAGTAGTGTTCTGGAATCCTAAGTGAGGGACAAACATTCAGTCCACAGCGGGAGTTCTCTGGAATCCTATGTGAGGGATAAACATTCAGACGACAGCAGGAGTGTTCTGCAATCCTATGTGAAGAACATATATTTAGAAAACAGCGTTAGTGTTCTGGAATCCTGTGTGCAGGACAAATATTCAGAGCCTTGTATCAGTGTTTGGAATCCTTTGTGACGGAGAAACCATTAGAGCCACGTAGCAGTGTTCTGGAACTGTAAGAGAGGGAAAAACAATCAGAACCCCACAACAGTGTTCTGGAATCCTAAGTTAGGGACATTCAGTCCACAGCAGGAGTGTTCTGGAATCCTATGTGAGGGACAAACATTCAGAACCTCATAGCAGTGTGCTCGAATCCTCCGTGAAGAACAAACATTTAGACCCACATAGCAGTGTTCTGGAATCGTACGTGAGGTACATACACTCAGAACCCAACAGCAGTGTTCTGGATTCCTAAGTGAGGGACAAACATTTAGGCCACAGCAGTATTGTTCTGGAATCCTATGTGAGGGACAATCATTCAGACTACAGCAGGAGTGTTCTGAAATCCTATGTGAGGAACAAACATTTCGACAACAGCGGGAATGTTCTGGAATCCTATGTGTGGGACAAAC
Organism: Homo sapiens; assembly: GCF_000001405.40. Lineage (NCBI taxonomy): Eukaryota > Metazoa > Chordata > Mammalia > Primates > Hominidae > Homo > Homo sapiens. The sequence continues at coordinate 99,219 of NT_187497.1, forward strand.
ATTCAGACCCTCGTCCCAGTGTTCTGGAATCCTATATGTGGGAGAAACATTCAGACACATGTAACAGTGTTCTGGAATCATACATGAGGGACCAACACTCAGAGCACGATAGCATTGTTCTGGAATCCTAAGTGAGGGACAAACATTCAGACCACAGGAGGAGTGTTCTGGAAACCTATGGGAGGGACAAACATTCAGACAACAGCAGGAGTGTTCTGAAATCAGATGTTAGGAACAAACATTTGGACCACAGCAGGTTTGTTCTCTAATCGTATGGGAGGGACCATCAGTCGACAGAGCGAGTGTTCTGAAATCCTATGTGAGGAAGAAACATTTAGACCAAAGCAGGAGGGTTATGGAATCCCATGTGTGGGACAAACATTCAGACCCTCATAGCAGTGTTCTGGAATATTTTGTGAGGGACAAACCTTTAGACACACGTAGCAGTGTTCTGGAATCATACGTGAGGGACGAACACTCAGAACCCAACAGTGTTCTGGAATCCTAAGTGAGGGACAAACATTCAGTACACAGCAGGAATGTTCTGGAATCCTATGTGAGGGACAAACATTCAGAAGACAGCAGGAGTATTCTGAAATCTTATGTGAGGAACAAACAGACCACAGCAGTAGTGTTCTGGAATCCCATGTGAGGGAGCAACATTCAGACCTTCGTAGCAGTGTTCTGGAATCCTATGTGAGGGACAAACATTAGAACAATGTAGCTGTGTTCTGGAACCCTTCGTGAGGTACAAACATTCACCACCCAACAGCAGTGTTCTGGAATCCTAAGTGAGGGACAAATATTCAGACCAAAACAGGAGTGTTCTGGAATCCTATGTGCAGGACACACATTCATACTCCATAGCAGTGTTCTAGAATCCTATCTGAGGGACAAAGATTTATACCCACGCAGCAGTGTGATATGAGCACAGCAGGAATGATATGGAATCCTATGTGAGGGACAAACATTCACACCACATCAGGAGCGTTCTGGAATCCTATGTGAGGGACAAATATTCAGATGACAGCAGGAGCGTTCTGAAATCCTAAGTGAGGAACAAGCATTTACACCACAGCAGGAGTGTTCTGAAATCCTATGTAAGGAACAAACATTTAGACCACTGCAGGAGAATTCTGGAATCCTATATGCCGGACAAACATTCAGACGACAGCAGAATGGTTCTGAAATCCTATGTAAGGAGCAAACATTTAGACCACAGGAGGAGTGATATGGAATCCTATGTTAGGGACAAACATTCAGACCCTGGTAGCAGTGTTCTTGATTCCTATGTGAGTAACACACTTTTAGACCCAAGTGGCAATGTTCTGGAATTGTACGTGAGGGACAAACAATCAGGACCCAACTGCAGTGTTCTGGAATTCTGAGTGAGGGACAAACAGTCAGTGCACAGCAGGGGTGTTCTGCAATCCTCTGTGAAGGACAGACATTCAGACGACAGTAGGAATGTTCTGAAATCCTATGTGAGGTACAAACATTTATACCACAGCAGGAGTGTTCTGGAATTTTATGTGTGGGACAAACATTCAGAACCTCATAGCAGTGTTTTGGAATCCTATACGAGGGAGAATCATTTAGACCCACGTAGCTGTGTACTTGAATCTTACGTGAGGGACACACAGTCAGAACCCAACAGCAATGTCTCTGGAATCCTACGTGAGGTACAAACATTCAGATGACAGCAGGAGTATTCTGAAATCATAAGTGAGGAACAAACATTTCGACCACAGCAGGAGTGTTCAGGAATCCTATGTGAGAGACAAACACTCAGACAACAGCAGGAGTGTTCTGGAATCCTACGTGAGGTTCAGTCATTCATGCCCTCGTAGCAGTGTTCTGAAATCTTATCTGAGGGAGAAACACTCAGAACCCAGTAGCAGTGCTCTGGAATCGAATGTCAGGGACAGTCATTCAGACCACAGCTGGGGTGTCCTGGAATCCTACGCGTGGGACAAACATTCAGACACTTGTAGCATTGTTCTGGAATCCTATGTGAGGGACAAACATTCAGAACACAGCAGGAGTGTTGTTGAGTCCTACGTGCGGGACAAACATGCAGACTCTCGTAGCATGGTTCTCGAATCCTATGTGAGGGACAAATATTTAGACCCACCTAGCAGTTTTCTTGAATCGTACGTGAGGGACAAACACTCAGAACCCAAAAACAGTTTTCTGGAACCCTAAAGGAGGGAGAAACATTCAATCCACAGCAGGAGTGTAGTGGTATCCTATGTGAGGGACAAACATTCAGACGACAGCAGGAATGTTCTGAAATCCTTAGTGAGGAACAAACATTTAGACCACAGCAGGAGTGTTCTGGAATCCTATGTGAGGGATAAACATTCAGACATTAACAAGAGTGTTCTGCAATCCTATGTGACGTACATTCAGACCCTCGTAGCAGTGTTCTGGAATCCTATGTGAGGGAGAAACATTCAGAACCCAGCAGCAGTGTTCTGGAATCTTATGTGAGAGACAATCATTCAGACCACAGGTGGGGTGTTCTGGATTCCTACGTGTGGGGCAAACGTCCAGACCCTCGGAGAATTGTTCTGGAATCCTATGTGAGGGACATTTAGAACAAAGCAGGAGTGTTGTGGAGTCCTATGTGAGGAAAAACTTTTAGACCCTCGTAGCAATATTCTGGAATCCTATGTGAGGGACAAACATTCAGACCCTCCTAGCAGTTTTCTGGAATCCTAGGTGAGGTACAATCATTCAGAACCTCGTAGCAGTGTTCTGGAATCCAATGTGAGGGAGAAACACTCAGAACCCACCAGCAGTGTTCTGGAATCCTATGAGAGAGACAATCTTTCAGACCAATACTGGGGTGCTCTGAAATCCTAAGTGTGGGATAAACATTCAGACACTCGTAGCATTCTTGTGGAATCTTATGTGAGGGACAAACATTCAGATGACAGCAGGAGTGTTCTAAAATTTTAGGTTAGGAACAAACATTTAGACCACAGCAGGAGTGTTCAGCAATCCTATGTGAGGGACAAACACTCAGACAATTGCAGGAGTGTTCTGGAATCCTATGTGAGGTTCAGTCATTGATACCCTCATATCAGTGTTCTGGAATCCTATCTAAGTGAGAAACACTCAGAACCCAGCGGCGGTGTTTGGGAATCGCATGTCAGGGACAGTCATTCAGACCACAGCTGGGGTGTTCTGGACCCTACGTGTGGGACAAACATTCAGACCATCGTAGCATTGTTCTGAAATCCTATGTGAGGGACAAACATTCAGAACACAGCAGGAGTGTTCTGAAGTCCTATGTGCGGGTAAAAGTTCAGACCCTCGTAGCTGTGTCTGGAATCCTATGTGAGGGACAAACATTTAGACCCACGTGGCAGTGTTCTTGAATCGTACCTGAGGGACAAACACTCAGAACCCAACAGCAGTGTTCTGGAATCCTAAGCGAGGGACAAAAATTCAGACCACAGCAGGAGTGTTCTGGAGTCCTATGTGAGGGACTAACATTCTGAAGACAGCAGGAGTGTTCTGTAATCCTACGTGAGGAACAAGCATTTAGAACACAGCTGGAGTGTTCTGGAATCCTATGTGAGGGACATAAATTCAGACGACAGCAGGATTATTCTGAAACTCTGTGTGAGGAACAAACATTTAGACCACTGCAGGAGTGTTCTGGAATCCTATGTGTGGGACAAACATTCAGACCCTCGCAGCAGTATTCTGGAATCCTTTGTGAGGGACAAACATTCAGAACACAGCAGGAGTGTTCTGGAGTCCTATGTGTGGTACAAATATTTCGTCCCTCGTAGCAGCGTCTGGAATCATATGTGAAGGACAAACATTCAGACCCACGTGGCTGTGTTCTGGAATCGTACAAGAAGGACAAAGACTCAGAACACAACAGCAGTGTTCTGGAATCCTAAGTGAGGAACAAACTTTCAGACCACAGCAGGAGTGTTTTGGAATCCCATGTGAGGGACAAACCTTCTGAAGACAGCAGGGGTGTTCTGAAATCCTACCTGAGAAACAAACATTTAGATCACAGCTGGAGTGCTCTGGAATTCTATGTGAGGGACAAACATTCAGACGACAGCAAGATTGTTCCGAAATCCTTTGTGAGGAACAAACATTTAGAACACAGCAGGAGTGTTCTGGAATCCTATGTGCAAGACAAACATTCACAACTTCGTAGCAGTGTTCTGGAATCCTATCTGAGGGAAGAACATTCAGACCCACGTAACAGTGTTCTGGAATCCTACGTGAGGGACAAACACTCAAAACAGCAGTGTTCTGGAATCCTAAGAGAGGGACATACATTCAGTCCACAGCAGTAGTGTTGTGGAATCCTATGTGAGGGACAAAAATTCAGACGACAGCAGCAGTGATCTCAAATAATATGTGAGGAACAAACTTTTAGACCACAGCAGGAGTGATCTGAAACCCATGTGAGGAACAAACATTTAGACCACAGCAGGAGTGTTGTGGAATCCTATGTGCGGGACAAACATTCAGATCCTCGTAGCAGTATTCTGGAATCCTATGTGAGGCACAAACCTTTAGACCCATGTAGCAGTGTTCTGGAATCGTACATGTGGGACAAACACTGAGAACCCAAGAGCAGTG